>NC_000011.10:97172424-97475454 GCF_000001405.40 Homo sapiens
AGAAAGCAAATGAACAAAATCACGTCTTACATGGCGGCAGGCAAGAGAGCTTGTGCTGGGGAACTCCTATTTATAAAACCATCAGGTCTCATGAGACTTAATCATTACTGTGAGAACAGCATGAAAGAAACTGCTCCCATGATTCAGTTATCTCCACCTGGCCCCACCATTGACATGTGTGGATTATTACAATTCAAAGTGAGATTTGGGTAGGGACACAGCCAAACCATATCAAAGACTATCTGAAATGTCTTTAAACCATAATTTAGTCCATGCTTCACTTAAAGATTCTTCCATTTATCTAAGTGATAATATGATGAGGTCATACTTCTTTATAAAAGTAAAATAATGATCATAGAAATGAGATAGGACTTAAAATTGGATGTGAAAGCCACTGCCAGTTATATTTAGTCAACAGGTTTCAGAGTAAAATAAAAATAATTTGGTTGGCATTTCTGATTTATAAATCTGTAATGTTCTCTTTACTTTTGTTAAGTTTCAAAAGGGAAGAAAGTAAAAAAGGTGAATGTTCACAAATGGCATATTTGCATATGCATGTATAGCATATGTAATACATAAATATACAAAGTACAAAAAACTTACCAAAAGTAAATCTGATGGACTGTTTATGGTGCAGTAATGTAATTCACATTGATAATGATTCTGTTCACAGTAGTTTAATAGCTACATTGATTACATTTGGAATAATAAATTGCTTATGTTAATAGTAATTGGAATTTGCTTCTTTAAACACCTATCATTACTAATTTCAGTTACGTGATAATGGGAAGTTAAGACTGCACAATTAGATGGATTTTATCAAGCTTTCTCTGGGGAAAAACACACATTTATTTCTAATATAAAAACTATTTTAATGCTGACTTTGTTTTAAACTAGCAGCTTTGTTTTAAATTAAAAGACAGAGTTGTGACTATGAAAAAATGCTTTTAAAGCAGATGTGCCTAGTTCAAGTATGGACCCAGTACTATAGGGACTATTTGCATTTCTCCCCCTGGTAATTCATGCTTTTTCCAAACTGCTTTTGTTTTTATAAACTATTTGTCACAATTATATATGAGATGAGTAAAATATTTCCTATCTTACAGATGAATATATAGGATTATTAATAATTAAGGCAGTTCCTCAAAGTAATAAATGCACACATGCATGATAGCTCTTTCTATAAACAGGTTAGCACAGTATTTGGTACAGAGAGGGTGACCTCAGAACATCTTTATAGTGAATGCATTTTTGAGATAATGAAATTTGAAGTTGAAGGCTAGTCTTCTAGCATTTCAGTGACTAATATTGGTCCTTGTACATAATTGATTTGCATTATGATAAAATCTGTATACTGGCCTAAGCTACTGGTCCTCACATGACTGTACCAGGGACCATATAAAGGTCTATTAAATTGATCTGTGTGATTAGAATATTGTTCTAGCCCTCAGTTTCTTCGTCTATAAGATGCAAATTAATAACTTTTCTTGCAGAGTTTTGAGAATTAAATATTGAATAATATAAAATACCTAGAACATTGTCTAGTGTACCTGGAATGTGCTCAACAAATTAGAAATACTATTAGTCTCAGATTAAGTACATGATTTGTAGAGATGAATATTTTTTCACATCTAAAAATCAAACACTAGTTATGATTCTATAGAGTTATATATTTGAACATTTTTATCACACTAATTTAAGGCCATGTTTATATACATTTTCTGCTTTTTCCCCTCCATGTCTACTTGTAAGAGATCTGCTTCAAACTATTCTTAAAAATTCCACTACTCTGTAGTTCTCTAACCTATAAATCCAATAATTTATTGTGAACCCAGTATATGTAAAACATCTTGTTATTTTGGGAAAAATATTTCACACAAATATGAAGGCTGATTTCAAGAAACCTTAATATCTAGAGGAAACATTAAATAGATAATTATGATGCAAGACAGAATTTGATATGCATAAAAGTGGTTACATAAGTGCTATGGGATTTCAGAGACATACTCTGTCTATTAGGAAATTTGACCAGGTAAAGAACATTGTGAAATGTGCACAGAATTTCAGAAATTGGCCAACAGCATTTTACAAATTTAGGAATGTTTAATTTTTATTGTTTAAAATGTCCCCCAACCCAGCTGCTTTGATTAGTCAAGTTTGGAAACCACTGCTCTTAGAATTCCTGGCTTCCAGTCCCTGGGCAGAGGCATTCCACGGTGCTAGATGAACTAAAAAAGAGAAGAAGAGAAGAGAAAAGGTAGAGAGAGGAGTCTTATAAAGGAAGAAAAGTAGGTACAGATATTGCTCAAGAAAAGGTAATTTGTTACAATGGAGTCTAATGAGTGCAGCTTATTTATGTGAACTGTCCCTCCAGACACAGTATCCCACATACATTTAGTATTAGTCTAGGTTCTTCAGATAATTCAGATTCATTGGCTCATGAAGTTATGGAGGCTAAGTTAGCAGTTAGCAAGCTGGGAGACCCAATAAGAGATGATGGCATAGTTCCAGTGTAAGCCTGAATCTAAAAGCAGGAAAAGACTTGAATCCAGTTCAGTCAGGCAGAGAGAGCAAATCCTGTTACTCAGTGTTTGTTGTTATTGTTGCTGCTCAATTTAGGCCTTCAAAAAATTCAATGAGGCCCACCTACACTGGAGAGGGGAATTTAGTCGACTCATTTTACTGAGTCAAATGTGAATCTCAATCAGAAAAATAATTCAAGATGGACTAAAGAATTAAATGTAAAACCCTGAACTATAAAAACCCTGGAAGACAACCTGGGTAATACCATTCTGGATATAAGAACTGGCAACGATTTCATTATAAGATGCCAAAAGTAATTGCAACAGGAACAAAAATTGAAAAATGGGATCTAAACTAAAGATCATCTGCACAGGAAAAGAAACTATCAAGAGAGTGAACAGACAACCTAAAGGACAGGAGAAAATATTTGCAAACCATGCATCTGACAAAAGTCTAATACCTAGCATCTATAAGGAACTTACATTTACAAGAGAAAAACACCTCCATTAAAAGCTGGGCAAAGGACATGAACAGACATGTCCAAAAGAAGACATATATGAGGCCAACAACCATATGAAAAAAAGCTTGATATCTCTGATTATTGGAGAAATGCAAACACAATCCCACTGTTGGTGGGGGTGTAAATTAGTTCAACCATTGTGGAAAGCAGTGTGGTGATCCCTTAAAGAGCTAAAAACAGTGCTACCATTTGACACAGCAGTCCCATTACTTGGTATACTTGAAGGAATACAGTTCTACCGTAAAGACACATTCACACGTATGTTCATTGCAGCACTATTTGCAATAGCAAAGACATAGAATCAACCTAAATGCCCATAGATGGTAGACTAGATAAAGAAAATGTGGTACATATACACCATGGAATACTATGCAGCCATAAAAAAGAATGAGATCATGTCCTTTGAGGTGACATTGATGGAGCTGAAGGTGATCGTCCTTAGCAAACTAACACAGGAACAGAAAACCAAATGCTGCATGTTTTCACTTAGTGGGAGCTAAATGATGAGAATCCATGGACACAAAGAAGGGAACAACAGACACTGGGGCCTACTTGACGGTGGGAGGAGAGAAGGGGTTAGTAAAAATAACAACTGGGTACTAGACTTCGTACCTGGGTATCAAAATAATCTGTACAACAAACCCCTGTGACATGAGGTTACCTATATAACTTGCATGTGTACCCCTGAACCTAAAATAATATAAAAACACACCAAGAATGTTTAACCAAATATATGGGTACCTCATTGATCATAAAATTAACTATCACATTTCTCTTCTGAACATTTTATATTTTTTAACTTCTATCAAATATGGAATAGTTATAAAACTATCGATAATATGAGAGTAAGATACAAAGAATAATATGAAAATGAATATCATTTACCTATTGCATTTGTTTGCTGGGGCTGTCATAATTGTTTAAGCCATATTGTTTGGATGGCTTAAACAATAGAAATCTATCATCTCAGTTTTGGAGGCAAGAAGTATGAGATTAAGGTATTGGCAGGGTGGGCTTTTTTTTTTTTTCTGAGGGCTGTGAAGTAAGAATGTGTTCCAGGCCTTTCTCTTTGGATTAGAAATGGCCATCTTCTTTCTATCTTCACCTTGTTTTCCCTGTGTATATGTCACCGTGTCCAAATTTCCTCTTTTTCTAAAGAGGTCAGTCATCTTGGATTAGGGCAGATCCTAATGGCCTCACTTTAACCTGGTCATGTTGGTAAAGACTATCTCCAAATAAGGTTGCATTCTGAAGTACAGGGGGTTAGGACTTCAACATATGAATTTGGCAGGGGTTACAATTCAAATTATAACATCTATCTTTTAGTCTTTCCCAGTTTCTATTTCAGTCTTTCTCTCCAGAGGTAACGTTGATCCTGAATTTAATGATCGCCATTATACTTATTTTTCTTACCATTTTACTGACTATGTAGATGCAGCCAAAAAAGCTATTATTTACATTTTAAAGACAATTAACTTCTTATAAATTGAATCACTAAATAAATTGTCTTCTTATGTCAATGTTTCCTAGGATTTTACCATGTTGATTTGGCAGCTATGTTAATTTTCTTCGTTAAAATGTATGTCATTATTTGTTTTATATTTGATAGGTATTTGAGTTGAATTCAGTCTTATTACAAGTGTGCTGCAGTGGAATTCCAAAATGCAAATAGATCCTTTGTGTTTCCTGGTTAACAGGGACAGGAAATACTCCTAAATAGACACTTTGAATTTACAAAATAAAATATATGTATAGGTCAGTTTGTATTCAATCAGTATATCAGAACTATATAATCGAATGTATAATTTATCATAGGAATTAATTTTAAAATATAGGAAGTGCTGGAGAAAGAAAACCTAGAAAACATTCAGAGAAGTTACTGACTACTCCTAATGTGTCTGAAAAAGTTGAAGCCTACAGGAAACTAGGCAAATCCAGCTTCTGGAGTGGAATAGCAAAGGGGTTTGGGATAAAAATCTATGGAAGTATCAGAGACAGAGGAAAGAGGTTTTGGTTTTTATTTTCCTCCCTCACAAGATTACTCAACACAATTCTCACACCGTGTGTGTGTGTGTGTGTGTGTGTGTTTATGTGTATTTCTTCCAAATACCAAGCAACTGGTTTTCATAGACATCAGCGGGTGCCCTACAATTTTAACTTAATTCTGACACTATCTACTTGGAGATAACAAAGCATTACATCCCACGGGATAAGAGCTATATTGGTCCCTTTTCACATGGCTATAAAGGACTACCTGAGACTGGGTAATTTATGAAGAAAAAGTTTAATTGACTCATAGTTCCACACGGCTGGGGAGGCAGCAGGAAACTTACAATCACGGCAGAAGGCAAAGGGGAAGCAAGAACCTTCTTCACATGGCAGGAAGAGAGAGCAAGGGAGGAACTACCACTTTTAAACCATCAGATCTTGTGAGAACTCTTTTACTTACATGAGAACAGCATGGGAGAAACTGCCCCCATGATCCTGTCACCTCCCACCAGGTCCCTCAATGTGTCAGGATTACAATTTGAGATGATATTTGGGTGGGGACACAGAGTCAAACCATATCAAGAGCTAGCCCCCCAAGACTGCTCCCGACTTCAGATGTCAATTACAAGTACCAGGTTGTGATCTGTGCTTCTGACAAACTGGCTATACATTGGGGTTCCTATCATGCTCACCTCAGATTTGATCGATTTGCTAGAACAGCTCACAGATTTCAGGGTAATATTGATGTTTACATACTTACTGTAAAGGATACCACAAAGGACCCAGATGGAAGATATGCATAGAACAAGGCATGCTGGAAGGGGCACCAGGCTTCTGTGCCTCCTCTGGGTGCACGACCCTTTAGGAACTTCCACATGTTTAGGAATCTGGAGGTTCTCCTGATTCATTTTTTTGTTTTTTATGTGGGCTTCATTAAGTAGACATGCTCGATTAAATTATCGGCCATTGGTGACTAACTTAACTTTCCATCACTCTCCCCTCCTGGAAGGTCAGGGGATGGGACTGAAAGTTCTAAACTTCTAATCACATGGTTGTTTCCCCTGGCAACTAGCCCCCATCCCATGGCTAGCCAAAGAGCCCTTAGCCATTAATCATTTCATATTAAAAAACAGTTATTACTTTGGAGATTCCAAGGATTTTGTGTGCCAGGAACCAAGGGCAGAGACCAAATACATATTTATTCTCATCATTGTGATATTCAATTTCACAGGAAGTTGGTTGAGTTTTCATGGACGTTGTGTCTGTACGGTTGCAGAAAAACATTCACCATGGGTAACAGAGAGCTGGGGTAGATGAAGAGTGAAGTAAAAAGAGAAAACTGGAATCCACTGGCACTATTGATTTTGCTCTTCAAGGACTCTAACCAAATGACATGTAAATTTCTCAAGTTGCAAACTGGAACATGAAACCAGATAAATAAGTGAATTTGGAGATTCACATTTCCACATTGCTTATAATGAAACAGTATAATACATCAATTTAACTACATAATTCACATAGTTTTCCGAAGTTGCATCAATATACCTCCTACCAGCAGTATATACATTTATCTTGTTCTGCATTCTTAATAGCACTTGATTTGTCAGGCTTTTCTTTTGCATATCCAGTATGTGTAAAATAGCATTTCATTTAATAATTTGTATATCCCTCCTCATCGCAGGGGTTGAGCATCTTTCAAATATTTTATACTCAGACTTTCTGCAAAATGCCTTTTAATGGCATTTTCCCATTTTTTTCCTATTTAGCTGATTCTCTTTCCCTGTAAACTTATGATAGTTCTTTTTATATTCAGTTATGTCTTACAAAGATTTCTTACTTTAAAAATAGTAATAGTCATATTTCTTTCTTTTCTGATTTGTGCTTTTTATGCCTCTAACATTTTTTCAGTTATTCTGATACTTAAAAGACTTAGTCACTTCAAATCACAAAATAGTCTTGCCTTTAGAAATTAATTTTTTTCTCAAGCAACAGTAAAAACTTAAAATTTATTCTCCCACTTTTACCTTGCTTTATGCTTGAGAAGACTATAGTTGGAAAAGGGATTGGCTGGCTTTTCTTCTTTTTGTATTTCTTTACCTGCTGTGAGCCATGGTTTCTGACTGCTCCATTATTTGAGTGTACTGAAGTTGGAGCTAAATAAGGATACTTAAGAACAGTAATTACTTGTCAGATTTTGTCCTGATTTAATATCAGGACTTTCTGGGGTTTGTAGATATTCAATGCTCATTCTCTAGTGTTTTTGTGGCCTTGGACTGTCCTTCCTAAGATGCAGATGATGTTTTTGTTTTTGCTTTTTTCCATCTGGTCACTTACATTTCTTCTCTCAGTCCTTGGGCATCGGGCAGTCCGTCTTCTCTGTCAAGTCACATCACCTTTACATCACTGCCTTAAGCAGAACTTGAGGGCTTCAGCCTATTCTACTGAATGCCCACTCTGACCCATGAGTAATATTCATGCATTTTTGTCCCCACTATTGGTAGAAATAGGGCTCACTCATACTGTTATCCTCTCTCCCTTCCTTTCATGCCATGGGCTGTGATAGGGTTTGGCTGTGTCCCCATGCAAATCTCATCTTGAATTGTAGCTCCCATAATTCCCACATGTTGTGGGAGGGAACAGGTGGGAGATAATTGAATCATGGGGGCGGTTTCCCCCATACTGTTCTCGTGGTGAATAAGTCTCATGAGACCTGATGGTTTAATTAGAGGTTTCCCCTTTTACTTGGCTCTCACTCCTCTCTCATCTATGGCCATGTAAGATGTGGCTTTCACCTTCTGCCATGATTGTGAGGCCTCCCCAGCCACTTGGAACTGTGAATCCATTAAATCTCGTTTTCTTTATAAATTACCCAGTCTCAAGTATGTCTTTATCAGCAGTGTGAGAATAGACTAATACAGGCTGATAGACCCATCCTTTCAACCTTAAATCTCTTAAGACGCATCTCTTGATTAACATGATTAGCAGATCCCCCTTTCCCCAAATGCCAAGAAATTTACAGAAAATTCTCAGTAGAGCTCCCTTAAAACACCTCTAACCTAGATTGAGGTGACAGGAAAGCCCATTCTGCAAAGGAAAGGTAAATTTACAACACTTTTAAAAAATAGTCTGTCTCAAATTCCTCAAACTTAACTCATTTATACTCATTTATATTATACTTTAGAATAAGGGTCTAAAAGCAAAATTTAAGACACTTAAAGAATCTCATAAATCTTCCATTTGCAACTTGAGAGGACATGTCACAAATTAGTTTCTTCATGGCATTTTGCATCTTCAATCAAATCTGAGTCCCATATTAACCTCCCAATACATATTACAAATAAAAGGGCCTGATATCTCATAGACTTTCAATGAATGAAATAGTTTAATTTGTGATTATAATTTCATAGAAAAAATATATTTTGGAGCCAGATTATTCAAGTACATCCACTCAAGTTTAAAAAGATCTGTAGACATTAGTTATAACTTCTGCCATTTGGATGATTCAGTAAGCCTTGTCAAGGAGGTAACTTGTAAAAGACTGAGTTTTTCTGTTGATCTCTGAACAAACTTTTAGAACTAGAACAGCAATCGTTTCTTCTATCACTGGATTTTACTGAAACCTTTCTTAACTGCCCCTCTCCATTTTAAAAAATCAGAAATCAAAAAGCTCAGTTTCAAAGCCTAATATGTATTTTCCCTTTGCAAACCTATCCAGAAGCTAAACTTCCAACTAAATTACTTTTCGTCTCTGAATCTTAGCTTTATTTAGATTGGATCAAAAGTTTTTTCTTATGAAATTGGTGGCTGCATATATAATAGAACTATATTTTCCTAGTTAGGCATTAAAGAGGTAGATCAGTGTAGGAGAGAAACTTTCATTTGTATTTGTATCAGCTTTAAGTCCTAGCTGGATCAAGTATAGAAAAATTCTGGGGAAGTCATAGAGTTTGTCAGTTATGTGGTTACCTTGTTTGATCATTGCATTCTCCTTCATTGCATTCTCCACCACTCTTTGCCTTGCTCTAAATCTACTGCATATTGCATCCTCTGGAGTCCTTGGAGGCTGGCTTTTGTTTACACCTAACCAGTGGTGCGCTGTAGCCAACTCACTAGCTTGCAACAGTCAATTTTGTGCATCTCTTCTCAAATCTCGTTCCGTGCTAAGATATTGGTAGGCTGAAATTAGCCATAGTGAGAGTAATTACCCCACAGATACTGACAAACTCTAAAATCAAGCTTTTGTTCTTGTTTTTGTTTTAAAATTTATTTTTAAAACATTTTGTTTATAAGCCTAGTCCTGGTTTGGCCAACGGGAGATACAGACAGGAGATCACAGTGCAGGAAAAAAAAAGTTTGAGATTCTTCTTCCTTGTTCCCTCCTTGTTTCAGTGCCCCATATACTTGAAAGTACTCCTCAGTTCTTCTCTGTAACTCCTATGAAGCCCATCATCTTCCTAGATTCAGCTCTCACAGAAGATATGCTAATGCTATTTCTTCACTCCTTTTTTCACCCCCAGAGTTTTCTCTGTTGCTTGTCACTGGTTGCCTTTACACCCTTTAGAGATTCCCCAGGCCTCTCTTGAACCTCGGAGGTGGAGGCTGCAGTGGGCTGAGGTGAGTTTGCACCATTGCACTCCAGCCTGGGCAACAGAGTGAGACTGAGTCACAAAAAAAAAAAAAAAAAAAAATCCCTTAATACTGCCCATGTCTCTCTAAGTAGTACCTTCATTAAATCTCATTTGAACCATCCGGAATAAATTCTGTTGCCTTCCAGAACACAAACGATAGATGCATCAATTATGACTGTTTTTTTTCTGAAATGACCCAGATTCAGCATCAGAATTTTGTTAAATATAAAGCCCCTGGCAGCTTCTACAATTGTATGAAATTTGGTATGCAGGATAAATTGCCTTTAGAATCCATACTCTGGAGTATGGGACGGTGGCCGTTACACTAATCACTAAGCATAAAGCCCTTTTTAAAAGTTATATATTTTCTTTTTCACACTGACTAATTGAAAGTTAAAAAGCCAAATATTTAGCTTTGGGCTACTGGTGATCTTCTTAGGCCAGGTACATGTAACATTGTCTTTTTTTTTTTTTTTTCAAATCACAATGTTTTTCACTTTACTTGAGAAACTTTGTAGATAATACTCTGCTTAATGTACTGCTAAATAGCTCACCTCCTGACATTTCATTAAGGGCAGGAAAAAGGGGGGGTTATTTTATTTTTAGAAAAATCCAGCTCTAAGAAGAAACATAAGGAACATTATGCTAGCTCTCCATTCTACACCAAATTAGTCATTAAAAGCACTTTAGGCAAATAAAATGCAAGATGCAATTCAATTCTCCCCTTTCAGTTTTTAACAGGGCAAAGTTTTAAACAGCAGAAATGTCATCCTTTAGTGTCAGCCTTTTTAAAGGCTGGTTAACTTGGCAGATGTTTAGCTATAGGTAATTTATTTCTGAGATTTAAAAAAATACTTTTTTTAAACCCAAAGACCATATGTCAAGGGGAAATATTTTATATACTGATTTTCTTAGGAAACTCATTTTCTTTCCATTTTTACTGCCAATTTTGATTCTCAGGTCAACATTCGTCTATCTGACATGCTAGCCTTTAAAATAGCTCTATGTCTATTATCTTTACAATTAAATACTATGTGAAATCATGATAATTACTTAACTTCTGGATAGGCAGATGTAAAAGGTCCCATGTTTTAACCCCTGGGACTCTGATCACGTACGTAACATCTACCTAGTTCCCACTACTTCATGCTTAGCTGCATGAAGAGAGAGAAATAGAAAATGGGTCTCGGATATTTAAAGAGCCCAAGTCAAGACTATACCTCTGACTTCAGTGTACTACATTGCAAATATATATTCTATTGGTAGTATTGCTGTGCAGAACCCTAACTAATACTTATCAAACTGAATAACCTCTATGCTATGAAGCTAAATTACTTTTCAGAAGTAATGGATAGAATGTGCAGTAGAGATACAACTGCTGCCCTTAAATTTCAAAGGTGGAGATGTTTAGTAACTATAAATAATGTAGAGTTTTGTTTTATAATAACCCCTAACAATGACAATGGGCAACCTTCTTATGACCATTGATATGCATTTACAAAGTGTTTCTCTAAACAGAAAAATTAAATCAAGTAATTAAGTATTAAATCTTAATATTGTCATAAGAGTATTTCTGTAAACCTACTTACAAAAGGTAAAACCCACAATTTCAGTATCATTTTTATCATCAAAAACATTTTTATCACTCTGTTAAAATGATCATAGACACAAGGCTTTTGGAAATACCTTTATGTGATGGTTAATATTAGGTGTGAACTTGATTGGATTGAGGATGCCTAGAAAGCTGGCGAAGTATTGTTTCTGGGTGTGTCTGTGAGGGTGTAGCCAGAGGACATTAACATATGAGTCAGTGGACTGGAAGAGGCAGACTCACCCTCAATGTGGGTGGCACCATCCAATCGACTGCCAGCAGGGCTAGAACAAAGCAGGCCAAAGAAACTCGGATAACTTAGCGAGTCTCTTGGCTTTCATCTTTCTTCCTTGCTGGATGCTTCCTTCAATTCCTTCCATCCTTGGACATCAGACTCCAGGATCTTCAGCCTTTGGACTCCTGGACCCCAATGGTTTGCCCAGACCTGTTGGGCCTTCAGTCATAGACTGAAGGCTGCACTTTAGGCTTCCCTGCTTTTGAGGCTTCTGGACTCAGACTGAGCCAGTACTGGCTTCTTTCTTCCCCAGCTTGCAGATGGCCTATCATGGGACTTTGCTTTGTGATTGTGTGAGTCAGTTCTCACTAATAAACACCCTTTTATATTCTACATATATCCTATTAGTTCTGTCCCTCTGGAGAACCCTAATAAACTGTACCTGTAAATTCAAGGTATTAAACCTATGATGATAAAGCAAGAAAACTCAATATCCTGATCCAGTTTGTAAGGTGGCAACTCAGAAATATTTCAGATGAAACAAACATGAACTTTGTAAATTAAAATTATTTTGTAGGCAATATATTTTTTCTGAAACTAAAAAAAAAAAAAAATCCTTCCATGTTAACAGGAAATTTTATACTTACGTATTATAACTAATGGCACCCAGGTAGGATGAAGCAAATTGAAGCAGGTCATGCTTCACAGAAACAAAGTAGAACAGAAAATTAGAATAAAAGCATCAAAGAGGTGAGAAGCAGAAAAGATTGAACTAAAATTTGAGAGGAAGGAAACTTTTCAGAGGTGAACTGAGAATTGGCACACATTTTCTTTTGGAGCCATTTTTAAAAATATTTCTTAGGCTGATTAAGGACTATTAATCAGGGTTGGAAATAGAGGTCTGCAACTGGGGAAAAGAATCCAGCAAAGCTTTGAACAGTTGTACATGGTTCAGTGACATTCAGATATAACCAGTCTCCTAAGACATTGGCTGAATTTTGAGCTATGAGGCTGAATAAAGAGGTTGTCGGAAGTTTCTAGAATTGGGCAAATTTGGCTTTCCCATACAGTAACCACTAGCCACATGTAACTTGTCAGCACTTAAGAATGTGGCTACTCTAGGCCGGGCGTGCTGGCTCACACCTGTAATCCCAGCACTTTTGGAGGCTGAGGTGGGTGGATCACCTTGGGCGTGGTGGTACGCATCTGTAATCCCAGTTACTTGGGTGGCTGAGGCAGGAGAATTGCTTGAACCTGGGAGGCAGAGGCTGCAGTGAGCTGAGATTGCACCACTGTACTCCAACCTAGGTGACAGAGTAAGACTTCCTCTCAAAAAAAAAAAAAAAAGTGGCTACTTTAAACTGAGATGTGCTATAAACTAGATTTTTCAAAATTTAGTACAAAGATAAAATCATATGAAATGTTTTAATAACTTATAATAAATGCTGATATGGTTGTATTTTTCATTTAATGGAATAGATAAAATACATTAAAATTTATATTTCTTAACTTTTTAAAATGTGTTATAAGAAAATTCCAAATTTTATATACAGCAAACATTATATTTCTATTATTCAGTACTTATCTAGAAGGCAGACTGATATCTCAAACCATCTCATGATGTTTAGGAAGCAAAGATCCAAAAGGATAAAGAACAAAAAACAACATATAAAAGTCGAAATCATTAGTGGAAGATACAAATAGAATTGCCAGTATACAGGCACATATGTTGAGGGTTATTTACTGATGATTCTAGGTGTGCCTAGAGGTAGAGGAGCTAGAATTGGAGCTGGTAAGCTGGAAGACACTGGTGGAGGATAAAAACCACCAGATCATTTTCGCCGGGGGAAGCTGGGGTCCTAAAAATAAACAAACTTGAACAGCCTCAAACACAGCATTTTCCCCTTCAGTAGATTAAGTTTTGAACCTGTGTGGGATAAGAGGCTAAAGAGGTAAGCTAAAAACATCTCTAAAAAGCAGAACTCAACCTATTCTGGTCTCTTAGGGCTGAGGAGGCAGTGACCCACAGGGCTCTCAGTGAAAGCCACGAAGGACCATATCTTAGGAAAGTTACAAATGAGAGGTAGACTAAATATTAACTGAAACTAATTCAGGTCTAAACCAACTCAGTCCTTTAGGAGATTGACATAACCAGCAATTTACACTATCCACCTAATGGAGAGGTGAACTCTCCATGGTGGAAACTAAAAAACATTTGTCAATGATTCTTTTGATAAAAGGTTGCATGACCATTATCCAAAAGAAACAACTGAAGGATACTCACATATTATCCAAAGACAGGAGTAAACAGATAAGGGTTAGAAATAACTGAGATTATTCAATAAAATGGATGATAAAATGAGAAAAAAAAAGCAGATGAAAAAATGGGAATTGGAAAAGAAAATTCATAAAAATAATGAAATGGCAAAAAGTACAGAAAGCTATAGTAGCTAAAATTAAGAACTTGGTAGATGGTATTAACAGCAAACTGGACAAAATAAGAATTAGTCATCTAAAAAGTATAGGCATCACCTCTGGCATTTATCACTTCTTTCTGTTAGAAACATTCCAATTCTACCCTTTTGGTTATTTTGAAATATACAATGAATTACTATTAAATTACTATTAACTCACATTAATAGCAATGTGAGTTGGATATCCCAACTTCCCTGATTTGATCATTACACATGGTGTGTGTGTGAATCAAAATATCACATATACCCCATAAATATTTACAACTGTTATGTATTCATAATAAAAAAACTTTAACCATAATATCGAGACAGTAGCATAGGAAGATAACAAGCTTACAAAAAATAAGCTTAATAGATCAATATGCCCTAATGAATTAAAATATGTAATTGTAGTCCAGGAGAGAAGAAGTAATAAGATAGTATGAATGGCAAAAAACAGAAACTGTTTTTCTACAACAATCAACACAGAAGACTTCTGTGACCAAAAGTGTGGAGCTCTCCCCTGACACACCGAGCAAGAAATCAGTTCTGCAGCAGATAGCAGCTAGTTGTCCTCTACTTAATTCTGACACTATTTACCTGGAGATAGTATCAGATCCTTCCAGTTAAGGGCTCAGTCTTACAAGATTGCCTTCCCTTTACACACCAGTCACAAGTCTGGGTCTCTGAAACTTCTAGCCTACTTGCTTCAAGTTAGGGATCCCATGGTCCCCTCTTTGGGTTAAATTAATTTGCTAAAGTGGCTCACAGAACTAAGGAAAGCACTTGCATTTACTGTTTTATTATAAACAATATTAAAGATACAAATGAAGAGACGCATAGGGCAAGGTATCAGGGAAGGGGTGTACAACTTCCATGGCCCCTCAGGCATGATACTCCGCAGAAGTCTACATGTGTTCAGCTATCTCAGAATTCCATCCTCTTGAGCCTTTTCTGGAGATGTCATTGATAGGCATGATTGACAACCATGTAGAATGTGATTAGACAAAATGGATATGGTCCAATAGCGGCAGACTGAGTTCAGAAACCCAGCAAGGCCTATCTGTTTAGATTCTTCTTGTCCTCTCCAAGTAGCATTTCTCCCTCCAGGAATGGGACAGAACCCCTTCTGAAATGGGGATCTTTATGACCAACAATCAAAGTAGATGAGAGAAATTCTTCATAGAAAGGTGGGGGAAGATTAGAATTCTGCTTTGGGAAGAAAAAGAAGTAAGAAAAAGGAGGGAAGGAGAAGATCAGAGATTTTATTTTCTGATATCTGCTTCTGAGGCCTAAAATGCCCCCAACACTATAACAAAAAGACCATAACAAGGGTTATAGGAGTTTTGAGCTAGGAAGCATGGATGAAAATAATATATACATGCATATATACGTATGTACCATATCACAAAAACAACACTCAAAGGTGTAATGTGTGAGACTTTTCTAAATGTGTGATTAAAGCAATATTAATTCATGGTATCTAGCAAGAGACAAAGAGGAAAAGACTATTTAGGTAAAACTGTTGAGATCCAAAGGCAAGTATATACGTTTATAAAAGCAGCAAGAGAAAAAGCAAATTTCATTGGAGCAACAACTAGACTTATAGTTGACTTCTCAATAAAGATCCTGTAAGCCAGATGATAACAAAATTACATTTAAACTCTAGAAGATGCTACTGACAACCTAAATTTTTATACCCAGTGAAAATATCTTGGTTGTTTCTAAGTTTTAACAACTATGAATAAAGCAGCTATAAACCTCCATGTTCAAGTGTTTATGTGGACGTAAGTTTTTAACTTGGGTAAATACCAAGGATTATGATTTTTGGGGTCATGTGGTAAGAGTATGTTTGGTTTTCTAAGCCACTGTCAACTGTCTTCCAAAACTGCTGTACCATTTTGCCTTTTCACCAGCAATGCCTGAGAGTTACTGTTGCTCCACATCATCACCAGTATTTGGTGGTGTCAGTATTCTGAATTTTGGACATTCTAATAGGTGTGTAGCTGTATTCCTAGTTTTAATGTGCTTTTCCCTAATGACGTGATGCGGAACGTCTTTTCATATGTTTGCCTTTTGTATATATTTATTGGTTAGGCATCTGTTCAAGTCTTTTGCCCATTTTTCAATTGGATTGTTCATTTTTTTGAGTTTTAAGTGTTATTCATATATTTTTGATAACAGTTTATCAAATTTGTCTTTTGCAATTATTTTCTCCCAGTCTGTGGTTTGTCTTCTTCTCTTGATGGTATCTTTCACAGATAAACTAATTTTAAATATCATTTGGAAGGGTTACTTTTTTCAGCTTTCCAAGTATTTAGTAATCTCTTTGAATATTATAAATTGCAAAAAGTTTTTTGAAAATCAATTGTTGGATACTTTTGTAATATCTCCTAGGTCAATGGGAGAAATTTTGCTTAAGAATGGTATGAACTGAGATAAGTCATGGAAAAAAAATGGAAAGTCTTCTACTTGCTGTTTCTACCACATTTTCCCTCTTTCATTTGAAGCTCTCTATATGTCTAAGCCTCTACATGTTGGCTTTCCCATGGGGGTACTTAGGCCAATTTTCAAGAAACCTTCCAACAGCCTAGCTCCCTGAGTTAAGAGGTATATTGCATTGACTTCCCCTAAACCTCCTCTGTTGTTAAGTTTACTCTTCCCAACTTCTGTGCTAATTTGGCCTGACTATAAGCCCTCTTGGGTAGGATATTGAAAAAGCAGGGCAAATTATCAGGCTGCCTTTGCATTTGCCCTAAGAAGCTAAAGCATCCTTGCTAAATTAAAGAAGTGAAAGTACCTCATTGCTGCTCCTTTTCTTCCTTCTGTCTCCAGAATTCCTTTTCTTGTTCAGATAGCCTTGCGTATATCACTGCCCTCCAGCCAAAGACCATCAGGAACATATGGGTAATTGAACAAGTTGGGTTTATTGCTCATAGCAGCAAAAAAGAATGTACACCACAGGGAACTGTGTGAGTCTAGGTAAGAATGTGTTAGGACTTACAGGATTTGGGCCTGTATTAGGTAATTTTTGTGGAGGGTTATGGAAGTAGAGCTCTTCTCTGTGTTATATGCTGTCAGCAAGTAGGAGTAATTCTAAGGTTAGGTATCATTATACATTTTATCTAGAAAAAGAGAAAACTGGGACACGGCTAAAGGTATATTTGGTAAAGAATAAACCATCTCTCATATTAGCTAAGCTGGGAGGATATTTCATCATTGTGGCTTGGACAGTGTTCTTCATTTGCCTGTGTTCAGAGATGATTATGAAATGGTCTTGTTGCTGTCTTGATCCATCATCACAGAATGGCCTTCTGTGATACTGATGTTCTGTGATATAATTTAGGTTCAACAGAACACCGAGTCTTAGCTGTGGGTGTCAGGCCATCTCCTAGCAACATTAAAACTTCACTGATACTCAAGCCCAGATCCTCTATGTCCCCAACTGCTTGCTGCTTTTCTCTTTTTCAGAGGACAGATCAGCAAATTTCAAGCTAAAAGCAAATTTCAACCTGGTAATAACCTGCCAGTTATTCTTACTGACAGGGATATGTGCTCTCTATAAGTAAACGTCTTAAAGCTCTTTTTACTTAGCTCATTTTAGGCTATGGTGATTTTCAAATTTCTAACTTTTTGTTTACACAGACAAGTAAAGGTAGTGATGTGATGGTAGAGACAACATTCTGCAGCCTTAAAACAAAAACTGCAGGACTGTGTATGGTGACTTTGGCTGCTCTCTTTGAAAAGGTCAGTTAAATAACATTTACTCTGCTAGCTTTGAGATGATTCTTGAAATTGACATGGTACTAAGATAAAGGAAAAAGATTCATTCAACTTCCTATTACATGCAGACACATACTCAAATATGTATCTTATCAAAACATATCATGCCAAAATATGCATAATCTGTTTTCAACACAAATATATTGTGCACATCTTTCCTTAAACAAATAAAACATTATCTTCACATATTTGAAGAGTAAATTTCTTAATTTCAGTTGTAAGAGGATAGTCATTTAAATTCACACTATTTTACTACTAGTGCTACCTTATATTTTATCTCACAATAAAATTGTTAGAAAGTGTTTGAGAACACTTGACATGAATCGATCCTGCCAGAATTGTAATTTTTCTGTTTTTAGCCAATTGTGTCTCCAAATCCAATATTAGTACAAAATAATGTCATCGCTTCCTTCAGAAATGGTTTCATGGAATTAAAGTGCAGTACTAGAGCATTGGTTTTTATAGATGGCAAAGAGGGAAAACTGTTTCTGAATGGAAATCAGTAGAAGGAATGAGGCTGAATGGAATTCCAGATTCTGGATTTAAATATTCAATTGCCTGTTTGACAACTCTATTTGAATTTCGAATCTGTGTATCAAATTTACTATGTCCAAAACTGAACTCTTGTTCTCCCTTCCCCACTAAACCTGTCTTCTCTATGTCAATAAATGGCAATTCCAATCCCTCTGTAATTCAAACCAAAACACCAGCGTTTTTTGTTTTGTTTTGACTCTCTTTTTGTCTTGTACCCCATAAAGTCAGCAAATCTTCTTGATACTTCTTTAAAACTCTGTTTAGGTTCAGTTCACTACTTGCCATCTCTACTGCTACCATCCTGCTCTAGTCCACTCTCTATTAACTAGAGTATTCCAAGAGACTTCTAACTGGTTGGTCTTACTATGTTCCTGCCATTTTCAAATCAGCAGCCAGAATGGTCATGTTAAAATATAGATCAGATCTCATTCATCTTTTGTTTAAAACTTTCCAATTTCTCCTATTCTTAGACCAAAAGAATAAACCTGTACAATATCCTTCAATGCTGTCCCTTCACTCCCTAGAGGCAGCCATCCCATTCTGCCTCTGCGCACTCAACTCAGCCACACTGGCTTCATTGCTGCTCAACCAACATACTAGGCATGATCCCACCTCAGCGACTTTGTACTAGTTTCCGGTGCTTTACAGCTTTCTCTTCACATATTTGCATGGCTTGCTGTCTAACAACTATTTACCACTGTGTCAGTGGCCGGTCTATTAAAAATTGTGTCATTCTTCTCTCCACCATCAATAATTTCCTTTTTCTTTTGGGCTTCTGTCACCATCTAAAATGTCTTATATTTTATTTATTTGTAGTGCCATTTTCTGTACACTCAAAAAAAAATACGGTCTATAAGGGCAGGGAGTATTGCTTGTTTTGCGATTCATGCATTTCTCAGACTAGGAAAATGCCTGGCATATTGCAGATTGTCCATGATTATTTGTTGAATGAATGAATGAATGAATGAATAAATGAAAGATTCTCCATCAATCTGTAACTTCATTTCTGTAGTTCTTCCCATCTGTTTAAATAGAAATTGTGTTTCTTTTCCTACTTCTAAACAAATAACCAGAATTCGATTTTGAATGTATTAATTTAATCTCATACTTCCTTTGTTAGATTTTTAAAAAGCAAAACAGATTTGAGATTCTGTCTATGAAATCTGTAAGATATGGATTTTTTATGTTAATTCTATAATAGGATTTATGTAATTCCATTTTATTTTAGGTTGTCTTTATATAGAGAATTAAATAGAATAATTAATTATCAGTTCTTTTTTCAATTTTGAAAGCTTTAGGAGTACAAGTGATTGTTGGTTACCTGGATGAATTGTATAGAAGGGAAATCTGAGATTTTAGTGCACTCATCTCCAGAGTAGTATACATTGTACCCGATATGTAATTTTTTATATCTCACCCACCTCCCACCCACCCTTTTCAGAGTCTACAATGTTTGTTATACCATTCTGTATGCCTTTGCATACCCATAACTTAGCTCCCAATTATAAGTGAGAACAGATGGTATTTGCTTTTCCAATCCTGTGTTACTTCACTTAGAATAGTGGCCTGCAGCTCTATCCAAGTTGCTGCAAAAGACATTATCTTTTTCTTTTTTATGGCTGAGTAGTATTTTATGGTGTGTATATATACACACTTTCTTTATCTACTCATCACGTGATAGGCAATAAGGTTGGTTCCATATCTTTGTAACTGTGAATTGTGCTGCAGTAAACATACATGTACAGATGTCTTTTTCATATAATGACCTATTTTCTGTTGGATAGATACCCAGTAGTGACATTGCTAGATCAAATGGTAGATCTATTTTTAGTTCTTTGAGAAATCTTCACACTATTTTCCACAGAGATTGTACTAATTTTCATTCCCACCAACAGTGTATAAGCATTGCATTTTCACCACATCCATACCAATATTTTTAAAATTATTTTATTATTTTTAAATTCCAGGGTACATGTGCAGGAGGTGCAGGTTTGTTACATAGGTAAACATGTGCCATGGTGGTTTGCTGTATCTAATAACCAATGACCGAGGTAGTAAGCTCAGCATGCATCAGCTTTTTCCCTAATGCTTTCCCCTCTCCTGCCCTCCCTGACAGGCCCCAATAAGTGTTGTTCCCCTCCATGCATCCATATGTTCAGCTCCCACTTATAAGTAACAACATGTGGTGTTTGATTTTCTGTTTCTGCATTAGTTTGCTGAGGATAATGACTTCCAGCTTCATCCATGTCCTTGCAAAGGACATGATCTCATTCCTTTTTATGGCTGCATAGTATTCCATGGTGTATATGTACCACATTTTCTTTATCTAGTCTATCATTGATGGGCATTTGGGTTGGTTCTAAGTCTTTACTATTGTGAATAGTGCTGCAATGAACATACATGTACATGTATCTTTATAATACAATGATTTATATTCCTTTGAGTATATACCCAGTAATGGAAATGCTGGGTCAAATAATATTTCCTGTTATAAGTCTTTGAGGAATCACCAGAGTAGCTTCCACAATGGTTGAACTAATTTACATTCCCACCAACAGTGTAAAAGCATTCCTATTTCTCCATAACCTTGCCAGCATCTGTTGTTTCTTGACTTTTTAATAATTGCCATTCTGAGTGGTGTGAGATGGTATCTCATTGTGGCTTTGATTTGCATTTATCTAATGATCATTGATGTTGAGCTTTTTTCATATGTTTGTTGGCAGCATGTATGTCTTTTTTTGAGAAGTGTCTGTTCATATACTTTGCCCAATTTTTAATGGGGTTGTTTTTTTTTTCTTGTAAATTTGTTTAAGTTCCTTGTAGACTCTGGATATTAGACCTTTGTCAGATGGATAGATTGCAAAAATTTTCTCCCATTCTATAGGTTGTCTGTTCACTCTGATATTTTGTTTCTTTTGCAGAAGGTCTTTAGTTTAATTAGATCCCATTTGTCAATTTTTGCTTTTGTTGCAATTGATTTTTGTGATTTCATGACAAAATATTCACCCATGCCTATGCCCTGAATGATATTGCCTAGATTTTCTTCTAGGGTCTTTAAATTTGTGGGTTTTATATTTAAGTTGTTGCCATTGCTTTTGGTGTTTTAGTCATGAAGTCCTTGTCCATGTCTATGTCCTGAATGGTATTGCCTAGGTTTTCTTCTAGGGTTTTTATGGTGTTAGGTCTTACATTTAAGTCTTTAATCCATCTTGAGTTAATTTTTGTATACGGTGTAAGGAAGGGGATCTGGTTTCAGCTTTCTGCATATGGCTAGCCCATTCTCCCAGCACCATTTATTAAATAGGGAGTCCTTTCCCCATTGCTTGTTTTTGTCAGGTTTGCCAAATATCAGACGGTTGTAGATGTGTGGTGGTATTTCTGAGGCCTCTGTTCTGTTCCATTGGTCTATATATCTGTTTCGGTACCAGTACCATGCTGTTTTGTTTACTCTAGCCTTGTAGAATAGTTTGAAGTCAGGTAGCGTGATGCCTCCAGCTTTGTTCTTTTTGCTTAGGATTGTCTTGGCAATGCAGGCTCTTTTTTGGTTCCATATGAAATTTAAAGTAGCTTTTTCCAATTCTGTGAAGAAAGTCATTGGTAGCTTGAGGGGGATAGCGTTGAATCTGTAAATTACCTTGGGCAGTATGGCCATTTTCACAACATTGATTCTTCCTATCCATGAGCATGGAATGTTCTTTCATTTGTTTATGTCCTCTTTGATTTCGTTGAGCAGAGGTTTGTAGTTCTCCTTGAAGAGGTCTTTCACATCCCTTCTAAGTTGGATTCCTAAGTATTTTATTCTCTTTGTAGTAATTGTGAATAGGAGTTCACTCATGATTTGGCTCTCTATTATTGGTGTATAGGAATGCTTGTGATTTTTGCACATTGGTTTTCTATCCTGAGACTTTGCTGAAGTTACTTATCATATTAAGGGGATTTTGGACTGAGATGATGGTGTTTTCTAAATATACAACCATATCATCTGCAAACAGAGACAATTTGACTTCCTCTTTTCCTAATCGAATGCCCTTTATTCCTTTTTCTTGCCTGATTGCCTTGGCCAGAACATCCAACACTATGTTGAATAAGAGTGATGAGAGGGGGCATCTTTGCCTTGTGTTGGTTTTCAAAGGGAATGCTTCCAATTTTTGCCCATTCAGTATGATATTGGCTGTGAGTTTGTTATAAATAGCTCTTATTATTTTGAGATACATTCCATCAATACGTAAGTTATTGAGAGTTTTTAGCATGAAGGGCTGTTGAATTTTGTCAAAGGCCTTTTCTGCGTCTATTGAGATAATCATGTGATCTTTTGTCATTGGTTCTGTTTATGTGATGGATTACGTTTATTGATTTGCATATGTTGAGCCAGCCTTGCATCCCAGGGATGAAGCCTACTTGATTGTGGTGGATAAGCTTTTTGATGTGCTGCTGGATTCAGTTTGCCAGTATTTTATTGAGGATTTTTGCATGGATGTTCATCGGGGATATTGGCTTAAAATTCTCTTTTTTTTGTGTGTCTCTACTAGGCTTTGGTATCAGGATGATGCTAGCCTCATAAAATGAGTTAGGGAGGATTCCATTTTTCTTCTATTGATTGAAAAAGTTTCAGAAGGAATGGAACCAGCCCCTCTTTATACCTCTGGTAGAATTCGGCTGTGAATCCGTCTGGTCCTGGACTTTTTTTGGTGGGTAGGCTATTAATTATTGCCTCAATTTCAGAACCTGTTATTGGTCTATTCAGGGATTCAACTTCTTCCTGGTTTAGTCTTGGGAGAGTGTATATGTCCAGGAATTTATCCATTTCTTCTAGATTTTCTACGGTATTTGTATAGAGGTGTTTATAGTATTCTCTAATGCTGGTTTGTATTTCTGTGGGATGGGTGGTGATATCCCCTTTATCAATTTTTATTGAGTCTATTTGATTCTTCTCACTTTTCTTCTTTATTAGTCTTGCTAGAGGTCTATCTATTTTGTTGATCTTTGCAAAAAACCAGCTCCTGGATTCATTGATTTTTTTGAAGGGTTTTTTTTCTGTCTCTATCTCCTTGAGTTCTGCTCTGATCTTAGTTATTTCTTGTCTTCTGCTAGCTTTTGAATGTGTTTGCTCTTGCTTCTCTAGTTCTTTTAATTGTGTTGTTAGGGTGTTGACTTTAGATATCTCCTGCTTTCTCTTGTGGGCATTTAGTGCTATAAATTTCCCTCTACACATTGCTTTAAATGTGTCCCAGAGATTCTGGTCTGTTGTGTCTTTGTTCTCATTGGTTTCAAAGAACATCTTTATTTCTGCCTTCATTCCATTATTTACCCAGTAGTCATTCAGGAGCAGATTGTTTAGTTTCCATGTAGTTGTGCAGTTTTGAGTGAGATTCCTACTCCTGAGTTCTAACTTGATTGCATTGTGGTCTGAGAGACAGTTGGTTGTGAGTTTTCTTCTTTTACATCTGAGGAGTGTTTAACTACCAATTTTGTCGTCAATTTTGGAATAAATGTGGTGCTGAGAAGAGTGTATATTCTGTTGATTTGGGGTGGAGGGTTCTGTAGATGTCTATTATGTCTGCTTGGTCCAGAGCTGAGTTCAAGTCCTGGATATCCTTGTTAACTTTGTCTCGTTGAGCTGTGTAATAGTGACAGTGGGGTGTTAAAGTCTCCCATTATTATTATGTGGGATTCTAAGTCTCTTTGTAGGTCTCTAAGGACTTGCTTTATGAATCTGGATGCTCCTGTATTGGGTGCATATATATTTAGGACAGTTAGCTCTTCTTGTTGAATTGAATCCTTTACCATTATGTAAAGGCCTCTTTGTCTCTTTTGATCTTTGTTCCTTTAAAGTCTGTTTTATCAGAGACTAGTATTACAACCCTTGCTTTTTTTTGCTTTCCATTTGCTTGGTAAATCTTCCTCCATTCCTTTATTTTGAGCCTATGTGCGTCTTTGCACATGAGATGGGTCTCCTGAATACAGCACACTGATGGGTCTTGACTCTTTATCCAATTTGGCAGTCTGTGTCTCTTAATTGGGGCATTTAGCCCATTTACATTTAAGGTTAATATTATGTGTGAATTTGATCCCGTCATTGTGTTAGCTGGTTATTTTGCCTGTTAATTGATGCAGTTTCTTCCTATCATCGATGGTCTTTACAATTTGGCATGTTTTTGGAGTGGCTGGTACTGGTTGTTCCCTTCCATGTTTAGTGCTTCCTTCATGAACTCTTGTAAGGCAGGCCTGGTGGTGACAAAGTCTCTCAGCATTTGCTTGTCTGTAAAGGATTTTATTTCTCCTTATGAAGCTTAGTTTGGCTGGATATGAGATTCTGGGTTGAAAATTCTTTTCTTTAAGAATGTTGAATACTGGACCCCACTCTCTTCTGACTTGCAGAGTTTCTGCAGAGAGATCCGCTGTTAGTCTGATGGGCTTCCCTTTGTGGGTAACCCGACCTTTCTCTCTGGCTGCCCTTAACATTTTTTCCTTCATTTCAACCTTGGTGAATCTGACAATTATGTGTCTTGGGGTTGTTCTTGAGGAGTATCTTTGTAGTGTTCTCTGTATTTCCTGAATTTAAATGTTGGTCTACCTTGCTAGGTTGGGGAAGTTCTCCTGGATAATATCCTGAAGAGCGTTTTCTAAGTTGGTTCCATTCTCCCCGTCACTTTTCAGTACACCAATAAGGGTATATTTGGTCTTTTCACATAGTCCCATATTTTTTGAAGGTTTTGTTCATTTCTTTCACTTTTTTCTCTAGTCTCACTTTATTTCTCACTTTATTTCATTAATTTGATCTTCAATCACTGATATCCTTTCTTCCACTTGATTGAATAGGCTATTGAAGCTTGTGCATGCATCATGTAGTTCTCATGCCATGTTTTTCAGCTCCATCAGGTCATTTAAGGTCTTCTCTACACTGTTATTCTAGTTAGCTATTCTTCTAACCTTTTTTCAAGGTTTTTAGCTTCGTTGCCATGGGTCAGAACATGCTCCTTTAGCTTGGAGAAGTTTGTTATTACCCACCTTCTGAAGCCTACTTCTGTCAACTTGTCAAACTCATTCTCCATCCAGTTTTGTTCCCTTGCTGGTGAGGAGCTGTGGTCCTTTGGAGGAGAAGAGGCACTCTGTTTTTTGGAATTGTCAGCTTTTCTGCTCTGGTTTCTCCCCATCTTTGTGGTTTTATCTACCTTTGGTCTTTGATGTTGGTGACCTACAGATGGGGTTTTTGTGTGGACGTCTTTTTTGTTGATGTTGATGCTATCCCTTTCTGTTTTCATTTTCCTTCTGACATACCCCTCCGTGCAGGTCTGTTGGAGTTTGCTGGAGGTCCACTCCAGACCCTGTTTGCCTGAGTATCACCAGTGGAGGCTGCAGAACAGCAAATTTTGCTGCCTGATGCTTCCTCTGGAAGCTTCTTCCCAGAGGGACACCCGCCTGTTTGAGGTATCTGTCAGCCCCTACTGGGAGGTATTTCCCAGTCAGGCTACACAGGGGTCAGAGACCTGCTTGAGGACGCAGTCTGTCTGTTCTCGGAACTTGAACGCCATGCTGAGAGAACCACTGCTCTCTTCAGAGCTGTCAGACAGGGATGTTTAATTCTGCAGAAGCTGTCTGCTGCCTTTTCAGCTATGCCCTGCCCCCAGAGGTGGAATCTATAGAGGCAGTAGGCCTTGCTGAACTGCAGTGGGCTCTGCCCAGTTCATGCTTTCTGGCCTCTTTGTTTACACTGTGAGCTACTCAAGCCTCATCAATGGTGGACAACCCTCCCACTGCCAAGCTCCAGCATCCCAGGTTGATCTCAGACTGCTGTGTTAGCAGTGAGCAAGGCTCCGTGGGCGTGGGACCCACTGAGCCAGGCACGGGAGGGTATCTCCTGGTCTGCCGGTTGCTAAGACTGTGGGAAAAGTGCAGTATTTGGTCAGGAGCATACCGTTTCTCCAGGTACAGTTTGTCACGGCTTGCCTTGGCTACTTGGCTAGGAAAGGGAAATCCCCCGACCCCTTGTGCTTCCCAGGTAAGGCGATGCCCCACCCTACTTCAGCTCACCTTCCGTGGGCTGCACCTACTGTCCAACCAGTCCCAATGAGACGAACCAGGTATCTGAGTTGGAAATGCAGAAATCACCCGTCTTCCGTGTCGATCTCGCTGGGAGCTGCCGACCAAAGCTGTTCCTATTCGGCCATCTTGGAAGCGACCCCATATCCCAGAGGTTTTGATAACTTGTTTCACTCTTAACATCCATTTCAAAGAAGTTTTAAATTTCCATCATGATTTCATTGTTACCCAAAAGTCATTTAGGAGCAGATTGTTTAATTTTCATGTATTTGTGTACTTTTGGGGTTCCTGTAGGACTTGATGCCTAGTTTTATTCCACTGTGGTCTAAGAAGATAGTTGATAGGATTTCAGTTTTTAAAAATTTATTGAGACTTGTTTTGTGGCCCATTATATGGTCTATCTTGGAGAATGTTCCATGTGCTGATGAGAAGAATGTGTATTCTGCAGTTCTCTAAGAATGTTCTGTAAATATTTGTTAGGTCCATTTCTTTTAGAGTATAATTTCATTTTCTCTTTGTTGACTTTGTCTTAATCTGTCTAGTGCAGTAAGTGGAGTTTTGAAGTCCTCCACTATTATGGTTTTGCTGTCTATCTCTTTTCTTAGGTCTAGTAGTAATTGTTTAACGAATCCAGAGTTCCTTGCATATATATTTAGGATTGTAATGTCTTCTTGCTGGATTGATCATTTTATCATTTTATAATGACCTTATTTGTCTTTACTGTTGTTGCTTTAAAGTCTGTTTTATCTGATAGAAGAATAGCTACTTCTGCTTGTTTTGGTTTTCATTATTTTCTACTTCTTAACTTTGAGTCTATAAGGACCCTTATATGTTAGGTGTGTCTCTTGAAGATGCAGATATTTGATTTGTGATTTAAAAAAATTCATTCTGTCAATCTGTGTCTTATAGGTGGAGCATTTAGACCAATTACATTTAAAATTAATATTGAGACGTGAGGTACTGTTTCAGTCATTATGTTGATTGCTAACTATTTTGTTTAACTCACTATGTTACTGTTTTATAGAACTGGTGAGTTTTATACTTCCAAGTGGTTCTACTCTGGTGCATATTGATCTTTTGTTTCAAGATTTAGATCTCCTTTAAGCATTTCATCTGGGGCTGGTCTGTTACTGGCAAATTCCCTCAGCATTTGCTTGTCTGAAAAATAATTTACTTCTCCTTCATTTATGAAACAATTTTGCCAGATACAAAATTCTTGGCTGACATTTTTTTTTCTGTTTAAGGATGCTAAAGATAAAGATAGGACCCCAATCCTTTCTGGATTGTAAGGCTTCTGATGAGAAATCTGCTGCTAGTCTGAAACGTTTTCCTTTGTAGGTTATCTGATGCTTTTGTCTCACTTGTCTTAGAATTCTTTCCTTCATGTTAACTTTAGATGCAATGAATATATGCCTTGGTGATGTCCTTTTTGCAATGAATCTCTCAGGAGTTCTTTGAGCTTCTTGTATTTGAATATCTAGATTTCTAGCAAGGCCACGGAAGCTTTCCTCAGATAAATTTTCCAAATATTTGCTGTTTCTTTTAACTCAGTTATAGCAGTTATTCTTAGGTTTGGCCATTTTACCTAATCGTATATTTTTGGAGACTTTGTGTATATTTTACTTCTTTTTTAAAATTTTTGTTTGAGTTAATTTGAATGCCTTGTCTTTGAGCTCTGAAAGTATTTATTCTACTTGGCCTAATCTATTTTTAAAACTGTCTACTGCATCTAGTAATTACCCAAATGTGTCTTTCATTTCTAGAAGTTCTGATTTTTTTTAATATCTATCTCTTTAGAAAATTTTTCATTCATATACTGAATTTTTTTTTTAATCTCTTTGTTGGTTTTCACTTGTGAGTAACTTAAAAATCAACCTTTTGAATTCTTTATCTGGTACTTCAAAGATTTCCTCTTGGTTTGGATTGCTTGCTGGAGAGCTAGGGTGATATTTTGGGGAGTGTTACAGAACATTGTTTCTTTCATATTTCCAGAAATATTTTTCTGATTTCTTCTCATTTGGGTGGACTATTCGAATTATTTTTAATTTTATATTTGATTCAACTGTACTTTTAAATTTAATTCCTTTTGATGATATGACTTTAATGTTTATAGTTAATTGTAACCTAATTCAGCACTGGGTACTTTCAGGGGTGAAGACTGTGTATGTTTTTTACGGTTATAGAGAGTCTCCTTATAATGGCTTTCTTAGATGCTGTTTATAGTTGCAATGTGCTTGGTGTGTATGCAGTTTCAACTGTGTGTCCTGTGGGGTTGGAATGGCAAAGGTCTCATTGAGGTTATCTCTTTTTCCAATGATGTGCACTTTTTTCTTTATTTTTCCTTCAGTATTTTATTCACTAGGTTTAACAGTTTAGACTTCAGTCCAGTAGGAGTGTCCACGGGTAAAAGCCAGCTGTAGCTAAAGCAGGTTGGTAAATGTAATAGCCATTGGTGGGTAGATGTCCCAGCCTTGACAGAGGCAGCTGGAGGAATATCAGTGGAAGAGAGGGAGCCACCTCAGCTCACCCCGCCAGATCAGCAGGAAAGCAATTTGCCTCCCAGTCACACTCCTGACTTAGTGTTCTAGCTATTTAGATCAGACAGAAACCTTTTTTCATCTGGAGGAATGCTATTATTTCATTATAGAGGGATTGTGACTCTACCCTTCATGCAAGCCAGAACTTTGAGGGCACTCCTTCTGTGGGAATGTAGTCACCCTGAAGTGTTCCAGAAAGGCTGTCTACAGGTGCACCTATGCGAAGCTCCCATGGAAGAAGCCCCAGCTTTTTCTGCAGTGGTGGTCAAGGGGAAGAAGTCCCCTTCTCCAAGGCCCTTGACAGAGTGAGGCTGCCTGATAATTGTTGTAAAGCCACATATTTTCCCCACTGAGCTCAGCACTGCACCTGTGCCTCTCAAATTTCCTACGACTGGAACATTCTGGGACTCAAGGCTTGCCATCTGGATTATTTTGTTTCACAGGATGTTTCCTTGTTGTGATGTACTTCCCCATCCCCTAGGAGTAGGAGTACCTGAGGGCCAGACTACTGATATTCATGCTGCTTTTCTGGGTCTAGCTGCCCAGTAAGGCTGCCACACTCCAGGCTGGTGATGGGGGAATGTCTGTAAGGGACCCAGTGATGTGACCTGTCTTCAAGTCTCCCAGCAGAGGATAACAAGCTTGATACACCAAGAGGATATCAGAGCTCTGAGCTCTGATAGGGGTGACAGGGCAGTGACACAGACTCTGATATTTACTTTGTTATAAATAGCCTTATTGTGTTGGCTTTCTCAAATGTCATTTGTAGTAGTTATAAACTGGTATAACATGGACAAACTCAGGACCTCCTGTTTAGTCTGGGTGATGCAGACAATGGTGATAGCTGAGGTCATGCACATGTTTTCTCCTTTCTGGGTGTTGTGTTATTCTGTCTACGGATACTGTAAAGGACTGCATAACTTGGCCTCCAGGCATGAGGTGGTACTTGCAAAAGTTCACCAGCTGCAGTAGTAGCAGTGGGATGTGTGTTTGCCTTATGTTACCCAGGGGAAGTACTCTGGTACATTGCACAATGTGCAGGGCCATAGTGCTCCCTAAAGTTTCTGTCCTTTCTGTTAAGCTACCAGTTCAGGTGGCGGGGGCAAAGCCAGATCTGGCTCTCCAAATGAGGGGCAAGCAGCAGCCCCAGTGCTAATCAAAGGGAAGTTCTCTCGTCAGTGGAGTAATGTTCCAGGGAGGAGCACAACTGCTTCTCTTGTACAAAAGAGTCCACAGAGGGCATGGGGAGCAGCAGGTGGCAGTAAGCCCCACTCAGCTGCCACACACTTAGCAAGTCAGATCTCACATCTGCAGTGTTATACTAGCAGCAGCTAGCTAGGTTCCAGGCAGTCTGCACTCGGAACTTGAAACTGCCCCAGCCCATAAGCCTTTCCTGCTGAGATGGAAACTGCAGCTTTCAGGACACACCCCTACCTGTCCTAGTGGGAAGTGGACTATAGGGGTTTCCTGTGACTGTAGCTATAGTGCACTTCTCATTCACCCCTCAGTTGTGGCCGAGGGGGTTCATCCCCGCTCAAGATCATATTACGAATCTCAGTTGGGAGCTTCTCTCAACCAGTGACCTCCTGTTTTAGCTGGCAAACTCGCGTAAGGTCACTTGTGAACTAGATTCAAGAATGGCTTCTTGCTATCCCTGCTGTAGTCTGGAAGTGCACACAAAGCATGACCCAATTCTGTTCCTTCTCATATACTCCCCACTGCCCACCAAATTGGCTCCAGGGCTGGGTATGGATAAGGGTTTCCCCCAAGGTTTAGATTACCAGGTTCCCCAGTGAGAGTGTATATCCCAGAGGCAGTTGCCCCACCCCCACAGGCTGGGAGTTAGTTTTCCACCTGGCTCACAGTGTAGGCTGCAGCCCACTGCTTCTATCAGAGGGTCTGTGGTTTCTTTCGGTTTTCCTGTTAAGTTCCTGGGGTGTTTCTGGAAAAACTTTGACAGCATGAGTGTCTACATACTATTTTGGTTTTTCAAGTGCGAGAGGTATGTTAAAAATGCCCTCTATCATGTTGGTTAAAAAAAAAATCTGATAATCAGTTCTTCGTTTGTACTTGAAATGAATGTTTGTGTTTTCTGAATAATAGTTCTTAAATTCCTGGGTCTTTAAAAATATTTTTATTTTTTCTGAAGTTATTTAAATGTGAATTACAAATATAACCATCTGCACATGCCCTGAAAATACTTTATCTAAATATTTCCCAGAAACTAACTAGTAATGATTTTACTTGATCACGTCATGCATGTTTAGACAACTATGGTTTGAATCTTCTATTTTATTTATTTATTTATTTTTGCTGGAATGAAGTTAACTAAGTTTTAAGAATTATCACAAATGAAAAATAGGATGGTTCTTATGTCTTCCAAATATTTCAAAATCAGATCCTTATTTCTCCAATGAATTCTGTGCAATAGTTATTCATCCAACATAAAACTCTTCTGTAACACTTGAAAATTTAGCACAGAAATGTCAGTATCCAAAGAAAAAAGTAGGAGCTTCTGCTGTAACTTCCATTAAATAAATTTAAATGAATTTTTCACAGACTGGTAGCATATGAATCATTGAGGCAGCTGTTGAAGATCCTCCCAGATCCCTTTTTTCGCCCCCAGCCACAGATGTTGGCTGCCAACTTTTTATACATGCACCATCTTCTCAGACTTGATGGGGCTGATGAGGGCCACCTTGCCTGGAAAGACATAGGGGATATAATGGCTCTGTCCTCTTGCCTGTAAGATATATAGCCTCTGTGGCACAACGCATACTCCTAAGCTCTACCCAGTATCAGACGGACACTAGACTTCTCCTCATGGCACGTCTTTGCCTGGCTTTTCCCACAGCCTAAGTCGCTTTCCTTATTTCCTCAACAAATAGCTTATAACATTATCCCATCTCAGGCTCTACTTTCAGGGGGTCAGACATAAGACAAAATATAATACGCTTAGATACTATTGTTAACTCCACGTTTCAAACACACTCAGACTCATTGCTTTTATTCTTGTTTTATCATTTTTCCTATGTCTGATAGTTTAAACACATTTGTGATAAAGCAGGATACTTTTTGCACCCAAAGAGTACTTAAAATGAAGTTTATGATTATTTTCTGATCCTATTTCATGCTACTAGATCTATCTGAGGCATTCTTAATCTGAACTGGAAATATATCTCATAGAGCCAAAAGACCAATTATATCCAGATTCTTTTATATCCCAAAGTGTTTCTGGTTATCTGTAGCATGTTACCTATCCTGTTTAAATCTGTAGTTCTTGAACTATAAAGTGAGACTGTCAATGCCATTTCTATGTAATTTTTCATAGTTGTTGCAAAGATTATATAAAATAATGAATGTAAAAACTCTTTCAAATATAGTTAAATTATATAAAGAATATTGCCTATTGTCAGTATAAAAGATAGTATACTTTATATGAATAATTTGATTCAAATTAAAATATAAAATATCACTATTAGCAACATCATCTCTACCAATTCCAAAGCTTTAAGGAAGTAGCACAGCTTGCTGATGTAACAACAAGTAGGTCTCTAGTATTTAATTAGGTGCTATTCTGTGCAAGACTGTTAGATGCTTTGTGGAGCTGTAAGTCAATAAACAGTGAATCTCATTGGCTTAATTGCTGAAACTGATTCCCTTCAAAGTGTGACCTCCAGATATAATTTCAAGAGTATACTATCTAATTAAGGCATTTAGAAACTGACCCTCATATTGGTGCAAAATTTTTCTCACATTGTTTGGTTGTGGTGATTGTCGCTAACCTACTGTGAGACCACTGAGGCATAAACTGCTTCTACCAGCAGCCAATCTGGGCTGAAGAAGGTTCCTGGATATTACCCAACATCCAAGCATGAATTCTAGACCTTACAACACGTGTTTATTGAAAAGCCAAACCTAGAACTGACAGAAAAGGAGTGACAGGCTACTGTCATGCAATGTAGGACAAAAGATTTCTATTGGGTCTTATACCTGAAAACATTTGGCCAAAGAGCATTTCAAACTCTAGCCAATTGTATTAACACACTCTTCTTTCTAAAGTAAAATAAAAGGGAAGGGGTGGAAGGATTAAGGACTTTCTTTCCTTGGAGGCCAAGCAACCCCCATTGCTTTTGGTAAAATCTTTTCTGCACCAATAATCAGATTGTGTTATCTAAGTTTTCTACATCAGCAGTAGTATGTTTATCAAATGTGTCATTCAGAGGCAAAAATCAGTAAATATTTCTTTGCTATATACTAAACAAATCATTTTTTGAATTAAGAAAAATCAAACTGGAATTGTCTTCTAATAGGGTCTCATGTCCAGATATACATAAGGAGTAACTAAGTATAAATTTAATGTGACCTCAACGCAAATGGAAACTTGGAGCTTGAAATCCTAGCTAAAACAACTGACCAGTAATCACTGATGAGTAATACTGTGGTTCACCCCTTATCCTCAGTTTAATGTTCAACAGTTTCAGTTACCCATGGTCAACTGCAGTCCAAAAGTATTAAATGGAAAGTTCCACAAATATTTCATAAGTTTTAAGTTGCCTGCTGTTCTGAGTAGCATGATAAAATCTAGTGCCATTCTACTTCATTCTATCCAGGGCACGAATCACCCTCTTTGTCCAGTGGTGTTTCCATGCTGTCTAGTCTCACCACCCTTTAATCACTTAGTAGCCATGTGGGTTATCAGATTGACTGTCGCATTATTGCAGTGCTTGCATTCAAGTAACACTTATTTTACTTAATGATGGCCCCAAAGCACAAGAATAGTGATGCTGCCAATTCGGATATGTCAAAGAGAACCCATAAAGTGCTTTCTTTACATGAAAAGGTAAAAGTTCTTGACTTAGTCAGGAAAGTAAAAACACCATATGTTGAGGTTGTTAAGATTTATAGTAAGAATGAATCTACTATGTGTAAAATTATGAAGAAAAGAAATTTGTGCTAGTTTTGCTGTCATAACTCAAACTGCAAAAATTATGACCATAGTACATGATAAATGCTTAGTTGAGATGGAAGAGTCACTACATTTAAAGGTGGAAGACATGAACAGAAACGTGTTTCAATTGATGGACGTCAGGCTCAGTATTATTTGTAGTTTCAGACATCCACTGGGTCTCTTAAGAAGGGACAACTGTACAGGTTTGGCCCTCTAATGATGTAGTAACTGAAAAATAAAAAACAAAAATAAAGCAGGATTTGTACATCAAAGAAGAAAGGAATGTTAACATTTGGAAACACTTGTTAAAGGTTAACTGTACTGAAATAGAAGTTTATTTTTTCTTTTTATTCATGGGCTACAATACCTATAGTGTTACTTACTTGCCTTTTCACCGTAACTAAGAACAAATACACATTATCTTGGTTTATATAAATCACTTGATTCCTGTTTACCCTGAGATCCATTTTTAAATTGCCTTCTTGATTTTTTTAAAATTCCAATTGTATTGATCTGTATTTTCCTCCATATTATCATTTATCTTTTGGGTGCTTGCCTTCTTGACATGTGTATACAAAGGCCCCCATTTCTTATGTCCTCAAGACCATTTTAATACTCAACTGTCTTCTTAAATCAGTGGCCTTAACTATCTTCAAATCTGCCCTGAAAGCTCATTTTATTTCTATTAAGTTTGTAACTCTCTTTAGTGTATTAAAGAATCCTGTAAATAGCAGATGAAACAGCATTTCAGAAGAGCAGTATTCTGAATTTATTAATGAACAACTCTAAAAGAAAATAGTTTCATCAGTTTAGGGTAGGGTATTAATATAATTGAGTAGTATGTCACTTAAATCGCAAGGGTGATAATCAAAATAATAAGTATTTCAGGATATTAGCAGATTTAATTTTCTTTTTTGAACCATACTGAAGACCCGTATGTCAACTGATGTTTGGAAGGATTTTCTGGCTTCCTATTATGCTATCAAAATATGAGGCAATAGAGCTGAATGTAAGAGCTTTGAATTTGCTTTATATTGACTTGGCTCTACCCCACAGGAATTGTGTGATTTCATGTGAGATAACTTATATTGCTTAGTCTCCAATGCTTCACTTATAGAATAATGACATATACTTCAAAAGTTTTATTTTTGTTTGAAGGGTTGGCATGTGGGAACTATCATCTACTATCACCCCCATACTTATTGAATTGAATTTGGTTAGTTGAAATAGAAAAATAAGTTGTGTTCCTAGTATAGAACTGTTGAAGTAGCCACTTTAAAAAAATATACTTTATAGGGATGTAATTTACATACAATAAGACATAATCATTTTTAGAGCTTGATAAATTTACCTAATGTATACATCCATATAATCATGGTATCAATCATGATTTTGAACATTTCACCACTCCCAAAGGTTCTCTTCTGACCCATTGTAATGAATTCCCCTGCAATTCCTGCCATAAGCAATCACTGATCAAACATCTACTGCTATAGATCAGTTTTGTATATTCTAGAACTTCAGGTAAATGGAATTATATAATGCAATTTCTTATTTCTCTGGCTATATTCACGCAGTGTAAGTGTTGATATTCATCCATATTCTTGCACAGTAGTTTGTCCCAATTTATTTTGGAGTAATATTTCATTGTAAAGATATGCCCTAATGTGTTTAACTATTCACCTGCTGATAAACACTTGAATTGCTTGCTGCTTTGTGTTATGAATAAAACTTCCATGAACATTCGTGTACAATTCTCTGGGTAGTTACATTATTTTTATGGCCATGCAGTTGTATAGCTCAGTTCTCCTTTCAGGACAGAATGCCCCAGGGAGCACAGCTGACTGACAGCTTCCCGATGTCCTACCTTTATATTTGCTGCAGTGGCATTCATGTTGATATCAATCTCACATGTATTCTTGGCTGTTCCCAGCCAATGACTAGGAGTAGAACCATTGGCTGTTTTTACCCATTGCAGGACTACCCTAACATGCAACATTTACTTAGGTGTCCTCTCAAAATGGCAGTCAAGGTTATTTCTACCAAATCCTTGCTTCACTTTCTTTTTTCACAGGTGTAAGACCTGTGTTATGGCCTGAAACTTCTCACCACATAACCCGCCCTTTACCTTTTGGGTGTTTCTTCTCATCTCCCGCGCATATCCCATCTTGATGTTTGCTTCTCAGGTAATTCAGTTATTTATTTTCTTTGGTAAAAACCTAGGAGTGGAAATACTTAACCATACGATGTTATGAGTTGAATTCTCTGCAGTAACATTTTTGGTATAAAGTCCTTAATCTCTTTTTATCAGGCACAGCTTGTAGTTGGATGGGTTATACTCTAACCTAACACTAGTTATAGGGTTATACAGGCAGCCAGGAGAGGAGGCGGGGGCAGATTCTGAAGTGTTTGCATTTGCCTTTTGGGTGAAATAATTAGATATTTTCATCATAGACAGCATGCTAATGTAAATGGGCAGGAACGGGCCACTTTCGTAGGTCTAGAAGCTGGAGTACGTTTGGGGAGTAAATATTTTGGGGTTTTGTATTCAGATACTCCCATCCTCTGTGTCAGCATCCCTGGTTTTCCAAATGAGGGCTCTGACTTTGGAATAACACTTCTGCCTTGGCTGAGCAAGGAAGTAATAGGAGGGCCTAGCCATTTCTGCACAACCTGGGATTCCTTAATTGAGGATTGTTGATATGGAGCTCCCCGTTGGGCTGGCAGAAATCTTTTCAGGTCTGTATTTCTGTCTGTCTTCCCCTACATTCAGTTGTCTTGCCCCTCAGTTTTTTTATGCTCAGCCACTATGTGAAATGAAGGCTGGTTTGTAAGCTAAGGAAGGTACTATCTGACTCTCATATTCAGTTATCAATTGCTTGTTAATTGTCTTCAGTTTTAATTTATTTGCCTATAAGGCATTAAGGCAACTTGGGAATAATTATCCAGTTCCATTTCCCTTATATTTATCATCACATTCACCAGGGCATGCTCTTTCACCACCATCATCCCAGCTCACAACAGGTGAAAGTTAACAACTGAACTATTGTCTTCTGCCAGGAGCTCTCTTTACACCATCTGCCGCGAGGAATGGAGTCTTCATTCCCAGCTAGTTGATGGTTAATCTAGCCCCCACTGGGATAGGTTAGGTTTTCTGGGACTCACAAACTGGGAAGGTGTTAGGAGTACAAAGTTTTACTGGGGAGTAACACCTATGAAAAGAAAGAAATGAAGCAGGATTGGGTAGGGGAATATATAGGACAGCAATATAAACCTGAAAGGATCCCTGCCACCCCAATAGAGAGCTCTGGATCAAAACTCCTCAATTAAAGGAATCCTATATTATGCGGAAATGGCCAGGCTCCTATTACATCCTTGTTCAGTCTTTGGTTAGGTTCCACACTGAGAAGAGCATGACCTCATCTTGAAAGTTAAGGCAGATTGTTACAGAGCTACAGCTAGAAAATGTCAACTAAGCACACTCCTTGCAACTGGGTAATGTGCCTTTTCTTGAAGGGAAATCTCAGATACACATCTCTGTCTGCTACATATAATGTGTATCATTAATTCTATAAGAAATTGCCAAACTTTTTTCCAAAGTGGTTGTAACATTTTATAATCTCAACAGCAATACATGAGAACTACACTTGCTAGATACACTTGCCAAAACTCGGTGTGGTCAGTCTTCTAATATTAGCTGTTTTAATGGGAACTAGAGGAATCTCATTTTAGTTTTAATTTAATTTTTTATGATGAATATCATTTTATGTGTTTACCGGACATTTATGTATCTTTTGTAGTGTCACTTCAAATCCTTTATTTCCTTTTGAATTGAATCACTGATCTTGTTATTCAATAATAAGAATTGTGTACATATTCTAGATGCAAATCATTTGCCAGATTGCAAATATTTGTACCCAGTCTGAGGCTTGCATTTCTTTTGTTTAATGGTGACTTTGAAGAGTGGGAAAATTTTAAGTTTGATAAATTCAACCTGTCATTTTTTTTCTCTTATAGTTACTGCTTTTTATGTCCTTTCCAAGTAATCTTTTTTATAGCCTGTTTACAATTGTTTGGTTTTCTTTTAGTTTTATAATTTTAGGTTTATATTTAGGTACATAATCCATTTCTATGATTTTTTGTGTATGATAGGAGAGATTAAGAGTCATTTTTATTTTGATCACATATCCAGCATTTGTTGTTTATAAAGAAAATCTAGTACCATTTGTTGAAGGTTGAATATCTAGAATCATTTGTTGAAAAACCTACCTATTCCCATTGAGTCACTTTTACACTTTGTTGAAAATTCAGTTGACCATACACGTGTGGGTCTCCTTCTGGATTCTCTGTTCTTTTACACTAATTAATGTGTTGTTTTTACAGCAATACCATACTGTCTTGATTATTATAGCTTTATAATAAGTCTTGAAAATAGTGTCAATCCTCTAACCATTTTCTTTTTCAAAGTTATTTTGCCTTTCCTTTGTTTTTTGCTTGCCTCTATAAATTTACTAATAGCTTATCAATTTTTACAATTGGCTTTGAGTGGAATTTATATGAACTTCTGTGATCTAACTTAGAACTTCTGTCTTCTTAGTAATATTAAGTCTCCCAATCTTTGACCATAGTACATTTCTTCATTTATTTTGGTTGTCTTTAATTTATCTCAGGCATCTTTTGTAGATTTTAGTGTAAAGATCTTACACATATGAAATTCATGCCTAAGTCATCATGATTTTTAATGCTGCTAATGCATTTTTCACTTAATTCCAATTATTGGTTGTGAGTATATTCAAATACAATTTATATTTTATATTGACCTTGTATCCTGTGATCACACTAAATTCACTTCTTAATTTTAGCAGGCTTTTTATTATTTTTAAAAATCCATATGAATTACTATTATACTTTTAACATTGACACTGGCAAAGAGATTTTACTTTTTCCTTTTCGGTCTGTATTTAAGATTGCACTGCTTAGTGAAGTGACATCGTTGGTCTGGGGTAATACCCGAGGTTCATTTTCCCGTGGCCACAGAAAACTAGAAAGTGACAAAAAAGAGTAAGGTTCAAAGTGGAAGTTTAATAGGTGAAAGAAAGAGAAAAGCTCTCTTGCTACAGAGAGGGGTCCTGTAGAAAATGGGTTACCACTTCTATAGTGAAATGTAAAAGGTTTTAAAGATGAGCTTGAGGAGGCAGTGTCTGATTTACATATGGCACGAAAGATTGGTCAGATGAGGTGTTCCATTTGCATAATGCTTGAAGCAGCTCACCTCCCCATCCCAATCTTTTATTATGCAGATGAGTTGTCTACCTGGCTGGTGCCATGTTGCCTGGTTCTTTACTGCACACGTGGTGGCAAAGAAAAGGGAAAATGGAGCCTCCATGTTGAACATGCCTCGCCCTTAGGTAGCCTTTTTCTATTGGCGCAGATGTTGGCATTCATCTGTGCAAGCTTCAAGCTTGGTTATTTATGCTTGGAGCTCGATTTTTCAGGCTGCTCTTTGTTATAAAAGAAATGATTTGGGGGCTGCTTTTTGTTGAAAGGGGAAGCCTTGCCGAGGACTTCTTTTACCCTCACTATCTGCCTAAGTATTTTCTTTCTATCTCCTGTATCACTAGGACATTATTGCAGTATTGACTTGAACTAACAGTAAATATCCATGACTAAACCAGATCTTAAGGGGAAAGTGCTTCGTCTTATAAGTATGATACTGTATGTATGAAAACTTACCGTGAGATTACTGTGTTCTACTTGGATTCTCTTTGTATTTACAGTGGAAAGTGCTTCCAGGTATAAAACTTGTAGGTTAAAGGGCTTACTTTGCTATTTTTTATTTTCTCAGCTCACACTTAAGCACCTCTTGTTGCCCATTGTCTTAAAGCTGTTGTTCGTCCGTCATGTCCATGTTCTTTTTATTTACAGTGGGATGGCAGGTATAGTACTAGCTATTTATTCATGCCCAAGTGCAGAAAGCATTATTTACTTTTAGCACAAATTATAGAGTGAGAGGTGTACAGGAGATGATCTGGAGGGAAAAAAAAATCACTCTGGATATTATTAACGGAGGGTTTGGCATCAAACTCTTTTGTGAAATACCTAGCAACTGAGAAGTTGTTTTGACTAAAAGTAGTCAGATTTTACTGTTTTGAACTAATGCAGAATTAAATGATTGCTTTTTCTCCCAACTTAGTCCCACATCATTATCCTGATCCTTGATATTTTGCCTTCTCAGTGGTGAGAAGCAGCAAGTGAGGATAAAACTAATGGAATGGGAGTCGAATAGAGGGGGGAAACAGTGTTTCTTCTAAAGTCTTGAGCAGAGTAGTTGCAGCTCAACATTAGGCCATTCTATGGTAGAAGGATAAAGAATAGGACACTTCAGGTACATTTTATTCTTCCAACAGCATGAAGGTAATTGATTGCAAAGAGTTAACTGACCAGAGACAAGAAAAGAGGCATTATGTAATAGGGAATTTAATCTTTTAACCTGTTTGCTCATCACAGCAGAAGTTTTACTTGCTGGACCATGGCCTTAAATCACCCTGTCCTCTGAACTTAGTAACTTATCATTCCTTTGGGGAAAAAGGAGAGGAAAACTCTGAAATGTTGTAAGAAAACAGACTTTTTTTTAATATTTTTTTTTTATTATGGTTCCTTCTTATACTTGTTTAAACTCTAGTTACCAAGACCTATGAATTATAAATCCAAAATATTTTCAAATGCATTCTCCTCTCCCCATTCTTACCATCACTATTCTAGTTCAGACCACACTCATTCTTCACCTGGATTACTCCCACAGCCTTGATTCTGTTTCCTGGGATCATGTATCAGAATGTTCAATATATCCAGTTGCTTTCAAAATTTAAAGTGCCTACAGATTACCTACAAATCCTGTTAGTTGAAGGCTCTGCAATGGTAGGTTTGGGCTGGTCCTATATTGTGCTAATGCTGGTGCTACTGGCCCACAGGCCACCACAGTCTGAGAAGGCTGCCCCTTTCAGTGGGCAGCAACAATCTTCAGTTTCTGTCAGCACTACTAGAACCCAGCAGTTTTACTGTTTTCTGTTCTGTAAAAATATTGTCTCTATGTGAAGTGAACGATATGTTAATTAGATTGATTGTGGGTATCATTACAGGAGGTATACATATATCAAAATACTACATTGTATACCTTAAATATGTAATTTTTGGTTTTTCAATCATAATTCAATAAAGCTTGGGGGGAAGACCTAAAACACAAAAAACCCAAGGTAGACAGTGGGCTTGTAATATTGTTGCTAGAATCTTGGGATTACTATTTAAATATTAATCCACCAAATGAAATAAATCATTTAGAAGTTGGTAGTAAGAATATTTCTTTACCACATGGTATTGATTAGATAGTTCAGACTGGTATATTTAAAAGTGCCTTAAAAGTGTAGCATGATGTATAAATACCAAATTTTAATATTAAAAATAAGTATTGCCAAGCAGTTTGAATGATGCTCCTGAAACACATGAGAATATATGAAGGGAAAAAGAAAAAACACTCTCATATAATGCTAATGGAAGTGTAAATTAGTATAAGCTTTCTGGAAATCAACTTGACAACATGTATCAAGAGATATCACTTCTAAGAACCTAAACTACAGAAGTAATCCCAAATCAGACATATATTTATGTACAAAGATATTTCAACATTAGAACAGTTAAGTAAATCATGGTATACATATCCTGCAAACAGTTTTAATAATTTATGAAAAAATTTATTGTAAAGTTGTGCTTACAAATGTAGTCTTGGCCTTCTACATGAGATACCTGGAAGGACGAGATGAAGATACATTTGGGTATTTGTGAAGCTTGACATTTGGCGGTAGAACTGTGAGAAAATTTTTCTCCGAGGTTTAAAATGTTTTACTGAACTTTTGAGATAATTACAATAATTAAGTATTGCTTTTATAAATTGGGAAAAATAATAAAGCAATATTAAACATTAAAAGTTTGTGTTAAGATATACATATTTTCAGATTCTCAAGGAAAGCACATCTTTGTTTTAATTATTGGCCAGGTAACCGTGAGACAATGACAACTAAATTTTTTTTGCAGCAAGTCTCATGTTTAGTGAATTTGCCCATGGGTGTGGATGAGGCAATGTCACTTTTTTTTTTTTTTTTTTTTTTTTTAAGAAAACAACATATTCTTACCATGTGATCCAGCAGTTATGTTCCTTGGTATTTACCAAAAAGAACTGAAAACAAAACACACAAAACCTGAACATGTCACACAAAAACCTGAACATGGTTGTTTATAGAATGGTTGTTATACTCATTTTTGACACAACTTGGAAGCAACCAAAATGTTGTTGAGTAAGTGAATGGGTAAATTGTGGTTCATGCAGACAATGGAGCAGTATTCAGTGCTAAAGTGAAATGAACCATCGAGCCATGAAAAACATGGAGGAATCTTAAATTCACATTAGTAAGTGAAAGACTAATCCTGAAAAGCTACATACTATATAATTCCAGCTATATGGCATGACATTCTGGGAAAAGGTAAAACTATGGTAAAAAAGTAAAAAAAGATTAGTAGTTGCCAAGAGTTGGGGGTAGGGAGGAATACATAGAGCACAGAGGGGTGTTTTTTTGCTCTTTTTTTTTTTTGTTTTGGACGGAGTCTCACTCTGTGGCCCAGGCTGCAGTGCAGTGGTGTGATCTCAGCTCACTGCAAGCTCCGCCTTCCAGGTTCACGCCATTCTCCTGCCTCAGCCTCCCGAGTAGCTGGGACTACAGGCGCCCGCTACCACGCCCGGCTAATTTTTCGTATTTTTAGTAGAGATGGGGTTTCACCTTGTTAGCCAGGATGGTCTCGATCTCCTGACCTCCTGATCCGCTCGCCTCGGCCTCCCAAAGTGCTGGGATTACAGGCCTGAGCCACCTCGCCTGGCCTCACAGATGGTTTTAGAGCAATTGAAATTATAATAGTGGATACAAGAATACATGTCATTATAGAATACCAAGAGTGAGCCCTAATGTAAACTATGGGGCTCTGGGTGGTAATGATGTGTTAATGTAGGTTCATCAATTGTAACATGTACCACTGTGGTGAGGGATGTTGATAATGGGAGGCTATGCATATGTGGGAGTAGTGCATATATGGGAACTCCGTACTTTCTGCTCAATTGTTCTGTGAACCTAAAACTGCTTTAAAAAATTTAAAAAGTGTATCTATATGTACTAAGTGATTTAACACATTTTTAATGTAATATTAATTAGGATTTATTAGGCATTTTACTTATATATTCTATTTATTGTAATCTCTCTTGATTCCCTTTTTATTTCATCAATAATACTTTCTTTGGCTGATTTAGGAATTGGTAATTTTATTTTTATTTCTTAGGTTGTTGCTGTTAAAGACCTATATTCATGCTTATTTTTTGCAATTACCTTCTTAAATACATCATTTTCTATATACTTCCCCAACAAGACAAGTACTTTTATCCTTCCTTATGTCCCCCATTTCACCCCTCCATTTCCAGTCACCAAAAGTTATTTGTATTAAATTTTATTTTGTGTATATATTATCATTTCTGTTTCTTTGATTTTACCTTTATTATGAACAATAATAAATTTTATCAAAACACTTGAATACCCTTAATTCTCATATCTCCAGCATTTCCTCCTAAAAGTGTTTCATTTCATGCAGCAAATTATTTGTGACTTTCTGTGTGTGCAAATATTTTTATTGCAATCCACACTTGATTGAAAATTTAGTTCAAAGTTATTTTTCTTCAGTACAAAAGAGTTTCATTTTTTTCTTATCAAGGGTCACTAATGAAAACTTTGATGTCACTCTGATTTTTTTAAACATTTTATTGTGGTATAATGTATGTGAACAGCTACATGTATTTAATGTATGAAACTTGATGAGTTTGGGAATAAGTGTACCACCGAGAAATTATCACCACTAAGGCCACAGACATTTCCATTACCTTTGAAAGTTTCTTCCTTCCCCCCATTATTTTTATTATTACTAGTCTCCTTTCACACTGATTCTTGTTCTATTAGAAGTAACCTGCTTTTTCTCTTTGTATTTATAATATTCTCATTTTCTTTCTTCTTAAAATGTTCCATAATCTAAATTTGAATTTTTTTTTCTCCTTAACAGTTCAATCTCGAGGTGTTTTTATTTTAATACTGGCTTTATTTCCACGCTTTCAGCTCTTTTCTCATATTTTTAAAATCTTCTCTCCTTTTCTTATGCCTACCTAGCATATATACTAACGGTTTCAATTCTACCACATCTCTTAGTTGTCATTATATATATCCGTATCTCTATCTATCTGTATAGATAGAAATAGATTTTTCCCTTCATTCTTTTTTCTGATGTCTTCTAGGATAGAGATTCAATCTAGTCTTTTAATTCACTGTTCCCTGCCCCCTCCAAGCTGGATTTCTCTGCATACTTACCAATGTATTCCTTATTTCAATTAATATATTTTACACCCAATTTATAGTTTATAATTTGTTTTTCTTGTATCATGCCAATATCCTATCTTTTTTGATATTTACTATAAATATTCTAAATGATTCCTCTGTTACATTAGTTCTGTTTTAAATAGTGTATGTTATCTAGTTTCCTTTTGAAGTACGGTAGTCTTCAAATGTATAGGGTGGTGTTATTTAAGCTTCCAAATTCGTGTTTCTCTAGTATATCAGCTGCTCTGTTAGGTTATGTGCATTGAGGAAGGAGCTATGTAAGGCCAGGTCTAGCTCTGTGTCAATCCTGGTGAATTAAGGATAAGGCAGAAGACTCATACAAAATCTATTTTGATCACCTCCATTTGCTGTGCCTCATACAAAAATAATCTGGGAAGGTATTAAAAATTCAAGCTTTAGGCAACAGCTTCATATGAGGAGGCAGCTTGCATAGTTTATAAGAGGATGGGGGAATATGAAGGAATCAGCGCTCAAGGCCAGCTGGTGAGTCCATACCTACTTTCACTAGCTCCTCATCCCTACTTCCTTTCATTCTGTCCTTATTCCGAGAACATCTGTGCTGGAAGATTCAGTCTGGCACAGCTGATTCCTGTAATGAAGGGACAAAGACTGTCTCAAGGTAACATGGGATGGCAAGGTAGAATGGGGGATAAGAAAAACGTAAAAGCTTTTCTCCAACCAATCCTCTTACTGTTAGCTTATCCACTCTCTGCCCATCCTGCTTCCACTTTCCCCTTATTCCCCCTTGACATCCACAATACTTAAACAGTGCCTTTGGACTCCTCAAGACATGTCAGGGATTTCTGTTTTTATTTATATTCTTAAATTTATTTCCTGAAATCCATTTTTTCCTCTATTTTCTATAGTTTTTCCAGAGTTAATTTTGGAGGGGGTAGCTTGTGGCCTTGCTAGTTCACCATCTTGGTGGTAATCAACGTGCCTTGAAATATTTCAGGCCCTGTTTCTGTGTTGATGTCACTGAATACCTGCTAGTTTCTGCTCCTGGGTGTGGCTTTTGGCATCTATACCCCATCCCAACTCCCCAACTCGACCTGTTCCTGACATCAGCTCACATCAATATCACAAGGTCTCCAAGGATAATATTTACAAAATACAATAATCTTAGAGTTTACATAAAAGAAACTGGAGTAGAACTGAGCTATGGTGTGTCTTAACCCTCCTCCTATTCATTTGTTAATTCTCCCTTGAGGGAAGAGGAGGGGGAGTGAGAGAAATAATACCCACATTTGTTTCTCATCCACAGTCCATTTCACATTTTTTGTTTGTTCACTACATGACTATCATGCTGTGTGTTGGGGTCTAGGGTGGGAAGCTTGACGGTCTCTGTTCCAGGTTCTTTCTTTTTACTGTGGACTCAGAAAATAGTTGAACAACTAGCAAAGTCCTGGAGAATACTGGCACACAGAAATATTAAGAAGGATCTGGTATCTTTTTCCTGTGGGGATTTGTGGATAGGGAGAATAGTTTGCCTGAGTGTTGGACTGTTAAATCCCAGTCAGTTCCTGTGTGCACACAAAAAAGAGTAACAATTGGCAAATGTCTAGCACAGCTGCATTATTGCCTATAAAAAATGGGAATGAAACAAACTCATATCTAGGGTAAATGAGAAAGTGAAGCCCTTATACTGCTGCCTCCAAAAATGATTTTTACTCATCGGTAATGAGAAAAACGTCTAAATGGCTGTAAGGGACATTTGAAATTTATGTGGTTTGACACTTAAAATTTTTAGAAACATCTAAACCAGCATAAAAATAACCAAACTGTGAGGTTAAAATATACTACACTCCAGCCTATAACTCCATGTCAGGAGTTATTTATTTTTGAGCAACATCTCAAATACAGTGCTAAACTCTATAGTCATTCTTTTTTTCAAAAGAGAAACAAAACAGTAAAATTATCAAGGAAAGAAACAATTGGCACCCTCAAAGTTGAAAATTTACTCAGGAATACATCAGAATCTGCTGTTGGGTATTTGAATGTGTTAGTCCCTAACCACAAACATGTTTGCATATGGCAACAGGATTTATCTCAAGTGTTACTTTTAATTATGGTTATATGTTTATAATTTTGTGATAATAACAGTATCTCTTTGTGATTCAATTTCAAGATGAGCTCCTTTATTTTTTAAGTATTTTACCATCTGTTGCCCAATTTAATAGTGCACCTATAGGTATATGGAATTATTTTTAAAATGACGGTTCTGAATCAGTTGACAATTACATTGAAATAGTTCTTAAAGGTGCCAATAATAAAAAAAAAAAACTTGCAAAAAATAACTAGTCTTTGTTTGTATCTTGTCAGGAATTTTTAACACTTGAAGGCATTTAATTTTATATTACTGAAAACCTAGATAAAAGGATGGTGTATTTTTTTTCAAAACACATACTTAGAAAAGCAAGGGAAAAAAATGTATAAATGAGTTTTGATTTTCCAGAAAATAGTCTTCCAGTTCTACACTGTTTACTAACTGCTGTGTTATAACTGGCTTGCCCTTAATTAATTGATACATTGAGCCTGTTTCTTTAAAATTTGAGACATTATTTAGACATCTTTTCAGCTAGAAATATACTCTTTACTTGTATTCTAACAACTGTCATAACCAATTTCTCTTCTGCTCAGTAGAGATGCATATTTTAAGGAACATGCAACTTAAGCCCTGCTTTCTTCACCCTCAGAGTTGTGATGAAAGCTACTATAGGGAAAGGGTCATGTGTATGTGTGTTGGGGGTATGGGGGTTGGATATCTGCAGGCTTCTGTTTTTGTAAAAATATTGCTAGCACAAGTTCAGAGACTCAAGTTTAAAGGCAAGCCCTCCAAAAATGACGCTGGCATTTTGTCTGAGTAAAAGTCAATGTAAATATAATTACGATTAACTCACTTATTCATTTAACACCTATTTATAGAATACCTACTCTATCAATACCTACTGTAAAGATCATGGTCCCTACCTTCAAGGAGTTCCTGGTAAAGTATAAAGCAGATGAAGCAACAGAAGATTGGTAGTCAGGTATCAGTAGAAAATCACTGAGATGTTGGCATTGACTCCCTGTTTGGTTTCTTGAGGATAATATAACAAAGTGTTAAAATTCAAATATTACTCCAGTGAAATAAAGTCTTCTGATATTTTCAGCACTTACTGACTGAATGGCCACAGCATACCCACATATTAAAATGGACTCTTGGCCCAGCACGGTAGCTCATGCTTGTAATCCCTGCACTTTGGGAGGCCAAGGCAGGCAGATCATGAGGGCAAGAGATCAACAGCATCTTGGCCAATGTGGTGAAACCCTGTCTCTACTAAAAATACAAAAAATTAGCTGGGCGTTGTGGCACGCACCTGTAGTCCCAGCTACTTGGGAGGCTGAGGCAGGAGGATCGCTTGAACCCAGGAGGTGGAGGTTGCAGTCAGCTGAGATAATGCTGCTGCACTACAGCCTGGTGACAGAGTGAGACTCTGTCTCAACAAAACAAAGCAAAACAAAAGGCCAAGTGCCATGGCTCATACCTGTAATCCCAGCACTTTGGGAGGCCAAGGTGGGTGGATCACAAAGTCAGGAGATCAAGATCAACTTGGCTAACGTGGTTAAATCCTGTCTCTACAATAAATACAAAAAATTAGCCAGGCATGGTGGCACGCACCTGTAGTCCCAGCTACTCAAGAGGCTGACGCAGGAGAATGGCATGAACCCGGGAGGACGAGGTTGCAGTAAGCTGGTATCGCACCACTGCACTCCAGCCTGGTGATACAGCGAGACTCTATCTCAAAAAAAAGAACAACAACAAACAAACACAAACCTCTTATTTGCAAACCCAACCTTTAACCCCCCTGCATGTTTCATGGATTCATTATTAATATCAACTCCTTACATCTGCTAGTGGTTTAAACTCACTTTTACCCACATGTTCTTATTTGATTTCTATAACAGACTTGCATAGGCAACAGAAAGTATAGAAGTTAGTAGAGACACTTACTCTGAAGATAAATTAGTTAAAAATCCCACCTCTACCTTTTGTTATGCAGTTTAACTTGGGGATGATAATAAGATCTCTTTGTTTTCTTTTTGTTTGTTTTGTTTTTATTTTATTATTATTATACTTTAAGTTTTAGGGTACATGTGTTTTAATTGAGGATAGGTAGATGATAATCATAGTACTCAACATATAAGTTTGCTGTGAGCAGTAAACAAGTTAACATATAAAAGAGTAGTCTCAGTGATCGTTCCAGCTATCTAAGACAGTAACACTTACGAGTTCTCTATGTTCCACAGCCAGTTTTGGCTACATTGTAACTATATCATGGCTTTAATCTCTGAGAAATGGTTTACATAGTTCTCAGATTTCATATTAACCCTGCACACCAATTTTTTTTTGTAACTGAATGATATTGCTTATCCAGATACCTGTGATCTCTTGACCTATAATTTATACGCCAGCATTTCATATTCTAACTAGAGATGTCAAATCAATTTTCACCCATATGCTAACTCTTAGCAATTGGTAATGGCTGCCTGGAACTGAGCATTGAGAGGAATTTTGAGGCTCAGGAAAAAAAGGTTTACATACATACTACTGATTTCTACTTCAGCCACAGGAGAATGAGTAAGAGCATATTTTCCATCCCTGATGTACTGAATTCACGTCCTTTCTATTTTACACAATATAAATTATTACAGCTTTAAGACTTCCACAATTAAACATATACAAGTGATTACTAAGTGCTTTGCTAGAAAAAATAGGCAATGCAGGAGATGGTATGTGCAGGAAGCAGAGTGTTTGGAGTGTGATAACTAGTGTTCATATCTTCCTCAGTGTAGAAAGTTCTTGTAACACAAACTGGCAAACTATAAGTTCTGTGTCCTTATTAGAGGTTTTTTTTTTTTTTTAGCAAATCATAAATTTAATATTTAAGAGAAAATAGAGTCAACCTAGAACTATCTTGTTAATTTGTCGAGTTCTACAATGTTAACATCCCCAAGGAGTGCAGTGATTATTAAATAACCATTAAGTTGAAAATAAAAAATGTCATTTTAGTCTCATTTGCTTAATTTATGATCAAAATAGTAAAGTTTTATTATTTAAATCCGCATTAAGCTTTGAAGTAATTCAGATATGCTATATAAAATTTTATTGTGTGAAATGCTATATAATTGTTAGGGTTTGGAAAGTAAAAGTATGTACCGTGAAAGCATAGTGAGTGTACATAAGTAGGGATGTTACTTTTGTTGTCTTTTGTTTCTTTTCCCATAACTTTATTGTCTACATGTACGTTAAATTGTAAATATTAAAACATTTTTATATTTGTAACTTATTGTATATTATGGCCTCTTAGAAATGATATATTTTAAAAAGTCTCTTTAAGGTTTCTATAGCTATGATGTTTTGACCTCTGACTTTGCAGTAATGATATTGTGGTTTCTTTATTGATACTTACTTTGTGCCTTCTTTCCCTTTTCAGATTTTATTGGACTTTTTTTATTTCCTGATTTCTTGTTTACCTTTTATTCATTTGAATTTTGCTTGTTTCTTCAGTGGCATCATATATACCTCTTCATTTTTATTTTTAATATTCCTAATCATCTATTTCCAGATATGTTTCTAATAAGTATCAATCATTCTTATTTGTGATACTTCTTTCTTTTAATTTTTTCCTTATACCAATCTCTATTTCTGGTATCAACCAGACAGCAGCTAGTTTATTTTCTCAAGACTCCTGTGGTTTTCTTCCATATCATCACCATGGATTAATTTTAGTAAAGTGGTTTTAAATCTAGTATCTGTTATTTCTTCAGGCTTTATGTGCTAGCAGGATCATATTGACTATAAAGAATGGGCATTGCCTTTTAGGGATAAGCCTTGAATCTTTATTACTGCAAATGGATGCCTTGATACAGAATGTAAAACTTATGGGGTTATCTCAAAAGAAATACAACAGTCTCCTTAAATTGTAGTTTATTTGTTCAAATCTCTACTAAACAAAAGTATTCTTTTGAGGATTTTGATCATTGCATGTCACTCGAGACATTATTTGTTATTTGTATGTAATTTTGGCAATACATTTATTTACAAATAAAAACATGGACTTATATCTGTTTCATTCTTTTTTTTCAACTATTCACTCAGAGGTTAATGAAATCCTCTGAAAATATTTACTTAAGTACATGCTTAGTTGATAGACCACTTGTGAAAAGTCATTGGTATTCCATTTTGTAAATGATAATATCCTTTAAAAGTACCATGAAAGACCAGAGCAAAGGCTTCTAATATATTTCATGCAGGGCAAGATGATATGAAGGTTCTTTATGGAGGTCATACCTAAGGAAAATCACAGAGAATAATAGGAATTAGCCAGCTAAATAACGAGTAGGGAGAGGAAAGCATTTCAGAAAGACACATAAGCAAAGGTACTTGGTGGTGCCTATGGGTGTGGTGGTGGTAGTGGTGATGGTTTGGTGATGAGGACTATGAGTGGATAAGTAACTAAAAATGCTGGATTGATTGAATTTGGTGTATTGGTATGTATTGAGAGGTGGGCAGAGGAGGAGAACACGTATCTGTATTAAGGTTTTCAGAAGAAGGTAAATGAAAAGTTTAGTTCTAACATTACACTTTCCATAGTGTGTATTTAACAATAATTAATATTTATCTTGTATGTTACTGTTTGCCAGTGATCCCACTTGCATGAACCTGTTTACTACTGAGGAGAATCCTATGAGGCTGGGTCTAATATAGTTCGCATTTTGCCAGGACGACATTTATCAAGATCAGTTAACTGAAGTCACAGAATTTGTAGGAAAGAAAAGAGGGATTCATAAGGAGCAAATCTACTTCAAAGCCATCTCTGCCTCTGCCTACGTCAACAGCTGAACCTATATCAATGTCTGTACTTATATTCTTAGAATTTATACTAAAATAATGCTTCTTACACTGAGCAAGCATATGTCTTCCATAATGTAATCTGTAAGAGAAGATTGAAACTGCTTTTTTGAGTACGCTAGTTACTTGAGAGTGATCTTGAGCCCTTGGGTGGGAATAGCCAAGACAGGGAATTGATGGAATCATGCAGTTCTAAACATCTCAATTGGTGATGGAAACCAGATGCGCATTTCCTACTGGATCAGTGGCCACATCTTTTATTCAAGCAGCACATTAATAAGATGAAGGATGGGAGAGAAAGTCAGTACTCGCTGATTACATGTCCCTGAAAAACATAACATCCACAAGAATGGTTCAGTAAGCTGGCCTGGAAATGCCCTGCTCAGAGTAGTTTTAAAAATAATTTATAATATATGCATCTTCCTCTGTATTTGTACACAGTTTCATTTAAAGTCCATCCATTCATGTTGAATTATACTTTGAAGCCAGGTGATTTACTCCTGAAGCCAGTTGCCATGTAAAGAATAACTAATTTTAAAAAATAAACTCAGTAAAGTCCCTAACTGCACATGTGTATAGTTTGTAAATTCTACATGTAAAATTCTAGATACTAATACCACCTACACTCCACTAGTCAGAGGAATACTGTATGAGTGTATTCATTCTTTCCTTGTTTCTTTAAATCTTTTCCTTTGATCTAAAATCATTTGTCTGACAAGTCTCCACTGTTGATTCAGAGAAGACAGCATCAGGGTATGTTTTGCCTAGAGCTCTGCCTGTTCAAGATTATAAACATTCACGAGATAGTATCTTGAATTTCAAACAACAGGAGAAGCGGAAGATTGTGTATAAATTATACATATATACGGCTTGGTTTCTATCTCTGGAATACTAACCTATATAAATATGCAGCAATGAGTGATGCTAGAAATGTACCTGTCATAAAATGGGAGACAAATGCTTTCACATCTGTCATGGAAAGAGACATCTTATCAAGTGTCTCAATAACAATCTGGAGGAACACCAGAAAGTGATTTTGGCAGGGCTGAAATCCTATATCAACAGAGGCAGCCAGTGACATGAAACAGAAGTTCAAGCGTGACAGAAAAGTGGAACATACCTTGGGAGGCTTTTTTTGAAGTAATGTCGATAGTTAGACAAATTAGGGGTAATGATGGAAAGCTCTTCCCATGCCTGAAGGATAACTGAATTAAAGAGTCATAGACATTAGATGGAAAAGAGCTCCATTAAGGTCATCTCATTCATTGCCTGCCAGGAGAGGATTGTTCCCTAGAGCATATTCTATAGTACAATGGAATAATGTTTGAAAAAAAGAGACTAAAAAGTTTTGTTTTAGCCTAGGTAACCACTGCAAATCAGAAGCCCTCAAACCGCTCATCCTGTCTTCTACCCTAGTTAGCAAATTAAAGTGATTAATAGATCTGGAGACTTCAGGTGTAGATAACAAGACACTGTCTGTATCAAAGTCAAAGGGAAAAGGCATTGATTTAGTGAAAAGGTCTCAACAGGAATGGCATGAAAAACAGAAAAGTTACACACAAAGGAGCCCTTTCCCTAGGTGGAACCGAGGGTTCAGACGCCTGTAAGAGCTTACCCTTAGTATTATTTAAGCCACAGTTTGCAGGTCTCTGAAGTTTTGAAACCTTTAGCACAGCATTTTAGATAGAAGAAATTCTTTATTCTCTTACTTGGATACTGTGAGCCTATAATGAAAAGATCTCCTAAAGGTGTCCAGAACATTAAGACTTGAATAACTGAATGTGGGTCTCATAAAGGGCAATTGCTATGTCCTGATTCAATGCAGAGTATCCTGAGATCAGTGGTTAGGACTGAAATGAAAAGGGCAAAGTACAATGAAATGGGCCAGGGAGTGACATTCAGGAGTACAAGACCTGGCTCTAGCCTCAGTTTGCTTCTCCCAGGCTTTGTTTCCACATTTTCTCATTTTCATAATCTTTCCTTCATAGCTATTCGCATTGTAAGCCACAGAATCTCGAAAGCCAGATTCTTTCTCTAAAAAAAAGGCACATGATAAGAGGAGGGAGCAATGGAAAGTCTTTTCTTACTGAGATTTTTCAAGTCTCACTAGTTATGAATGTGTTTTGTACTTCAGGCTGTGTGTGAGAATGTGAGCCAGCACAACGTACATTAACTAGGTAATTGCACATCTCTCATCCTCAGTGAGCCAACTGGTTCTCAGGTTGTTAGAAAAGAGCAAAAGAGGGCATGATATGGAATGTTTCAGGATGCGATCTGGTAAATCTCTGTTCCAAAGGATCAGTTTACGGTAGACAGTTTTGTGTGGAGCATAGTTCTGCCTAGGCCCTTGCGGAGCATGAACTGGCTGTAGGGAAATGATGAGTGCATGTCCCTCAGTGAGAGATAGTAATCTCCACACATATTATGGTATTGCTGTTACGCTTCTCTTTGCATCAGATGACCAGATCTCACATCCCAGACTGTCACTGACTCACTGAGGAAAGTCACTCTCAGCTTTAGTTTCCCCTCCAGAAATGGAGATAATTACTAAAACGGCTGTGTATTTCCTCACTGTTTATAAATTTTATAAGCCATAAAATGCTATATTTAAACTTATTTTATTTGGAATTATTGTAAATTATGTGCCCCAGCTCATTTCCAATATTTTTGCTAGCAAAAGAGCTACTTTTTCTCTTTGTCAATCTGTTAATCCGGTCATGAATCAACTGTACTTCATTTACCCTGTGTTTATGTTGTGCTCAAAATAGTGCTAAGCATGGTATGTTGAACTTCAGTTTAAAACGTCCCTTACTTTTATATTCTCTGTAAAAACAGTGGACTACATATTTTCCTTTTGTAGGAATGTTTTATTTTTTATTTTAAGTTCTGGGATACATGTGCAGAGCGTGCAGGTTTGTTACATAGGTATACATGTGCCATAGTGGTTTGGTGCACCTATCAACCCGTCATCTAGGTTTTAAGCCCCACATGCATTAGGTATTTGTCCAAATGCTCTCCCTGTCCTTGTCCCTCACCCCCTGACGGGCCCCAGTGTGTGATGTTCCCCTCCCTGTGTCCATACGTTCTCATTGTTCCTTCATCTCTATATTTTGTGGAATTGAGCTAATTTTTGTTGATTATAGTTTCAGGGGTACATATTCAGGTTTGATACATGGGTATACTGAGTAATGGTAGGGTTTGGGCTTCTAGTAAACACATTGCCCAAATAGTGAACTTAGTACCCAACACATAGTTTTTCAATCCTTTGTCCTCTCCCTGCTTCCCTGCCTCCACATTTTTGAGTCCGCATTGTCTATTGTTTCTATCTTTATATCCATGGGTACTCATTGTTGAGCTCCCACTTGTAAGTGAGAATATGCAGTGCTTGATTTTCTGTTTGTGTTATTTCACTTAAGATAATGATATCTAGCTGCATTCGTTTGGTTGTAAATAATGTGATTTCGTTTCTTTTAATGGTTGCATGCTATTCCATTTATGTGTGTGTGTGTGTGTGTGTGTGTGTGTAGACACACATTTTCTTTAATCCACCGTTGGAGGCTTAGGTTGTTTCCATGATTTTTGTATTATAAATAGTGCTATGATAAACATCATAGGTGCAGATGACTTTTTGAAAGAATGCTTTTATATTTTTTCCTTTGGGTGATACCCAGTAGTAGGATTGCTGTGTCGAATGGTAGTTACATTTTTAGTTTTGTGAGAAATCTCTGTGCTGTTTTCCATAGGGGTTGAACTAATTTACATTCCCTCCAGCAGTGTATAAGCATTCCCTTTTCTCATTTTTGCCATCTGTTGGTACTTTCCTTTGTTTTTTTTTTTTTAAAGTAGCCATTCTGAAAGGTGTGAAATATATGATTGTGATTTCAATTTGTATTTATTTGATTAATGATATTAAGCATTGTTTGTTGGCTGCTTGAATGTCGTCTTTTTTTAATTTTACCTCTTCTTTTTTTTATTATACTTTAAGTTCTAGGGTACATGTGCACAACGTGCAGGTTTGTTACATATGTATACATGCACCATGTTGGTGTGCTGCACCCATTAACTCGTCATTTACATTAGGTATATCTCCTAATGCTATCTCTCCCTGCTCCCCCCACCCCATGACAGGCCCCAGTGTGTGAAGTTCCCCTTCGTCTTTTGAGAAGTATCCATTCATGTCTGTTGGCCACTTTTTAATTGTCCATTGACCAGTTTGTTTTATTCTTGTCGAATTAAGTTCCTTATAGATTCTGGGTATTAGACCTTTGTCAGATGCAAAGTTTGCAATTATTTTCTCCCATTCTGCGTGGTTGCCTGTTTACTCTGTTTCTTTCACTATGCACAAGCTCTGTAGTTTAGTTAACTCACATTTGTCTAATTTTGTTTCTGTTGCATTTGCTTTTGAAGTTTTAATCATAAATTTTCTTTCTAGGCCAATGTCCAGAAGAGTTTTTCCTAGGTTTTCTTCTATGATTTGTAAAGTGTCGGGTCTTAACTTGAAGTCTTGAATCTATCTTGAGTTAATTTTTGTATAAGGTGAGAGGTAGGGGTCCAGTTTCATTTTTCTTCATATGGCTATCCAGTTTTCTCAATACCACTTATTAAATATGATGTCCTTTCCCCATTGTTTATTTTTGTTGAGAATTGTACTATTTCTGAGAAATGTAATGAACCTTCTCTTTGAAGCCTTGTGATGCATATCTTTGGACTCTCCCTTCTCCTTTAAAAAGACACTCATTTTGCTCCTTAATTTTAGAAGGACATTTGACTATCTCTATGTGTCATAATTCTATTAATCCAAGTTAAAATTATCTCATGAAGCTTTATTAGATGAATTTGCAATAAGAACTTAGAATATAAAGTCAGAAGACATAAGTTTGAATATCAAGCTGGGTCTCATTGACAGTACAAATTTGGGCAAGCTGCTTCGACTTTCAAAACCTTTCTCTTTTAGGAAAATGAGAGTGACAGTAGCAACTACATCATGGACAACATGAGATAATGTATTTTAAAGTATTGTGCAAAGAGTTGGTTGCCAAATGAGTGCCCAATAATATTACAGTTGTAGGAATGTGTTTTCCTCTATAAAGTCAGGCTTTTACATCCATGGATTCCACATCTGTGGATGCAACCAACAATACATCGAAAATATTCAGAAAAAAATTCCACAAAGTTCCAAAAAGCAAAACTTGAATTTGCTACACATGGAGCAATATGTTGAATCCACATGAATAAAGTTATGTACAGGCATTGCATTAGATTTTGTAAGTAATCTAGAGATGATTTAGAGGATACAGGAGGATTACCTAGGTTATATGCAACTACTATGGACTTTGAATGTAGTACTTGACTATAAGACTTGAGCCTCTGCAATTTGGGTATCTGCAGGGGCTGAGGGATAGGAAGGAGGGACCTGAATCCAATCCCTCACAGATATGAGGAATAACTATACTGTATTTCACCACTATTTAATTGTAGCATATATATACACACATATACATATATGCCTTCTGTCTTATAAATTGAAAAGATGTAAGTATCAACACAGTATTAAAGTCCAGGGAATTATAATATTATCCTGCATTTGCCATATGCTGAACTATGATCTTGGCAATGAATATACTTTATTTTAATGCTTAAAGTTGCCTGATGTGAAATTTCAGCTATGCTAACCATGTCATAGATACAGAAATTAAAGATAGAGATACTTTTCATATAAGAAAGTTCTTAAATATTTGTGCACGTCGAATATTTCCAAACCAAGCAGTAACAATTCCATTTGAAATAATGATCTTTTGGAGCCAGTCTAATATGGAGACAGACAATATTTACCACTTTGATCTATGATGCATGTGTTATTATTAGTCTTTTGAGATTCACATTAAATGACTGTTTTCAGTGGATGGATGATATTTACCTCTGTAATTGTATAAAAGTGAAGGAGAGAATGAGAAAATGAAAGCCAGATATTAGAAAAATATTCTGCTTTCAGTTGAGCTTGGAAACAGAGAGCTAATGAGATGGAGAATAATAAGAAAGACTATTCCAGACAACAGGAGTTCAGGGGAGACATTCCATTTACCAATATCAAAGTAATTAGTGGAGGGCTGGGATTGAATGAGAGGCAATTATAGATTACAGATTTGCATCAGGAAAACAAGAAGTCCCTCTTAAGTTTAAAAACAAGAAAATATATGTTAGGAACAAATCCTTTAGTGAAGAGATAGTGAATAGAATCGCCAGAGGAAGAGGGAATGGCTGTTGTGTGTACAGGTGTGGGCGTGCTAGCTTCTGAGATCAGCTTCACGTCGTACATCATGGAATGTGAAAATATGAACCCTGACAAGCTATTACAAAAGTGAACTGAGTAATTCAATTGAGAAGCAATAAAGGTATGGATAAGAAGTGAAGCAGAGATGCAACTGCGACACAGTGGTATATATGGACAGATTTGCAGAAGGGGTTTTAATGGGTTTTTAATGTGTTTGTCAAAGCTGTGAAAATCTTGGCATGTTGCCCCAAATCATCAAGGATCCATGCAAGTAGGTCGGAGGGAAGGCTTAAGACAGATAGTTAGATGAACAGCATGGGGCATGCCATCAGCAGCTGAAGGGAAAATAAAGTTTATTAATTAGGGGAATTAATTGGATAGCTGTGATTTTTGCCTTATGTGGTCAAAATAGATTGAGAAAACAGACTGTAAAGTGTATACAATTGAGTAGCTGAGCTTAAAATAGAATCTTGTAACGGAACCAAAGTAATGAGATGGAAAATGGCAAAGACCAGGAGGTATGGATCTCATTCTACACTATCTGAAACTGTCACATTTATAAGGTATTATTAAGAATTCTTGTTTCTTAGAGACTTTAGTTCAAATCAATCCATTAAAAGGATTGGCCAGTTGCTTGGTGGCTGATGTAAATTAAATGCTATTTCAATGTAAAATGGCAGCTCTTAAACAGATCTTATTAAGTGTATCTATGATAATGAATTTCTTCTGACCAAATTTAGCAGCCTTTTCTCTCTTAAACTTTTAAAACCTCAGAGTAGTCTCGACAAATATGGTTTTTTTTTTTTTTTACTGTGATTTACTTCTTGAGTTTTCCTAAGAGTTCTCTGAAACTTTATTTTTTCTAGTGTAAGTTTCTGAAACAAAATCACTGAGATCTCTATTTTTGTTTTTCTATCTACTTTCATTTTAAGAGTTTATTATTGGCCGGGCGCGGTGGCTCACGCCTGTAATCCCAGCACTTTGGGAGGCCGAGGCGGGCGGATCACGAGGTCAGGAGATCGAGACCATCCCGGCTAAAACGGTGAAACCCCGTCTCTACTAAAAATACAAAAAATTAGCCGGGCGTAGTGGCGGGCGCCTGTAGTCCCAGCTACTTGGGAGGCTGAGGCAGGAGAATGGCGTGAACCCGGGAGGAGGAGCTTGCAGTGAGCCGAGATCCCGCCACTGCACTCCAGCCTGGGCGACAGAGCGAGACTCCGTCTCAAAAAAAAAAAAAAAAAAAAAAAAAAAAAAAAAAAAAGAGTTTATTATTTTACTTAATTTCTAACTTAGGGTGTCCATTCAATTTCTGTTGTACAATCAATAAAGCATCAATTCAAATAATCTTTTCATTAGATTTGAAGTTAAATTAATAATAATTAAAATACCCTGTTATTTTACAGTTAACAAAGCACTTTCTTGTATGTTACATAATACTATAAATCTGTATACTAGATGTGATTCTCACAGATTTGGACTGGGTATGTGACTTGTTTGTCTTAAGATTACTTGTGGAGCTTAGGCTTTTGCATTTTGACTGTCAGTTCCATATTTTTTCCAAATTCAACATATTAAAGTACTTAAGCTCATATTCCATGCCAGAAACTATGCTAGCAGCTGAACTATGAAATATTTTGGTCCCAAACTCATTTGAGTTTGTGGTATAATGGGAAGGAATAACAGTTTTGAATCTGTATGACAAGAGTTTTGCTAGAGTTAAATAGGGAAGCAATGGAATTAAGACAGAGGAGCAACTACAGTCAAGATAAGGATAATGAGAGAGTTTCTATCGGGAGACTTATTCTGCCTGGGTTAGAGAGTATGAATAAAAGATTAAATTATTTATAGTCATAAGTCATAAACATATGCAGTGTTGTGGAAGTGTGGAGGGCATATGTGATGGTTAATATATAATATCAACTTACTTGGATTGAAGGATGCAAAGTATTGTTCCTGGGTGTCTGTAAGGGTATTGCCAAAGGAGATTAATATTTGAGTCAGTGGACTGGGAGAGGAAGACCCACCCTCAATCTGGGTGGGCACCAACTAATCAGCTACCACCTGACTAATACAGTACAGAAAGAGGAAATTTAACATGGCTAGGATAAAAACAGGCAGAGGAATGTGGAAGGACTAGACTGGCTGAGTCTTCCAGCCTTCATCTTTCTCTCATGCTGGATACTTCCTGCACTTGAATATTGGACTCCAAGTACTTCAGCTTTTGGACTCTTGGACTTAAAGCAGTGGTTTCCCAGGGGCTCTCGGGCCTTCGGCCACAGACTGGAGGCTGCAATGTAAACTTCCCTGTCTTTGAGGTTTTGGTATTGGGACTGGCTTCCTTGCTCCTCAGCTTACAGATGGCCTATTGTGGGACTTCACCTTGTGCTTGTGACTCCTTAATAAATGCCCCTTCATATGTACATCTATCCTATGAGTCCTATCCCTCTAGAGAACCCTGACCAATACAGTATATAAAGACGAAATTTTACATATTACAGCATGAATGAAAGCAGATTGCAAGAGAGAAGGGACGAGACATAAACATGGGAATATATCATGTGTTTAGAGCTTTCAGCCATTGATTTTCTTTTAGCATTTGTGTTTTTGCCATTTCCCTTCCATTGCACAATGTCCTCATGTGACTTGTTTGCTAATTTGAAAATTATCATAGCATATACAGGACTTTTTTGCATACTGGGTACTTGGGAATAGTTATCAACTGACAAAGTCAGGTTTTGACTCCTAATCCTTGGACTCTGCTTCTCTATATATGTAATATGTAGCCATTTGGGTGCAACATTTAAAGAGTATCATAAGTACTTTAATAGCTGCCAATACTAGCTATTAATAATGGGCTAGATTTGCATTTCTTCTCTCTATCCTCTCCTCTGTCAAGTATAGATCTGCTAATCAAGTACAAAACATATTATCTGAGAGAAAATGACTATAAAAGCAGCATTCTGTCCACCTATTATTGGGTGGCAAAAATTCAGAGAGTAGGTCTATGGATGAATAAGTAACACAAAGCAAATTAACACAATCTCTGCTCTAGAAAAGGAAGGATTTTCATTTTTGGTGAAAAACTATGACAGTGAGTCAATCTAGATGAATTTGAGAACACAATTGGTTTTAGAGAAATAACATACCTTTTGATTTATCTTAGCCTACAGAAACTTATAAGGATGTTGATGAAAAATATCATTACCTTGCCAACTTCTCCTCTCAATTTTCCAAATACTAATACTGAGTTAGAAATCAGACTTTCGAATCTCATATATATTTCATTAATATTGAGCCTCTTGGCAGAGATCAGTTTTATACAAAAAGGGTATAGATTAAAAACAGTTTAGGGGCCTTTCAAATTCATTTTCATTTAGTAAGGTAACTTGTATCAAGAGTAATTTTCTGACCCACCAGAAATTTTAATCACTAGTTTTAGACAGGGTCTGGCTCTGTTGCTCAGGCTGGAGTGCAGTGGTGCAATCTCAGCTCATGGCAGTCTCCGCCTCCCGGGCTCAAGCCATCCTCCCACCTCAGCCACCATGCCCTGATAATTTTTGTACTTTTTGTAGAGACAGGGTTTCACCATGTTTCCCAGGCTGGTCTCAAACTCCTGGTCTCAAGCGATCTGCCTGCCTTGGCCTCCCAAAGTGCTTGGATTAGAGATGTGAGCCACTGCACCTGGCAGCACTTTTTTGGATTATGTTATAAAGTTCAAATTCCTCAGCTTTATATTCAAGGCTCATGATGTTCTTTCCAAACAGAATTATTGAGAATTAGTCTACTCATAATACTTTATGCATATGATCAACCTTCATCTAAAAATGAAGATATTAATACATACTTTCCATACGCCAAATGCTAGTCATACACTGTAACCTCTAAAGAGAGCTCTAGTTATGCCATCACCCCAATTTCAACCCCATAACTGAAGAAAAATGAATCACTCAAGTACACCCATTTTTCTACCATTGTACAAAGTGAATATTTAATTAGCAACAATAAATGACTTATAAGCGGAATCAAACTAGGGCAAGTGATTCTATTGATTCATCTTTTCTCTGTTTCTATATCACTTGAGAGTTCTCCCAGTCATTAGAAGGACAAGTAAAACCAGAGTGCAGCCCAGAGGAAAGAAAATATTGAGTGGATAAATCAGTGCAGGTCTATAATAGTCAAGAACACTGGCTGTGGGGTTGGATACATCTGGTTGTAAATGGCATTTCTGCTTTTAGTAGTTTTTTGGCTGCGAGCAAGCCTTTCTAAGTTTCTAACCTCTCCAAGCGTCAGTTTTACATTTTAAAATAATTTAAAAACTTTGACCAGTATTATGGAAGAAAAGTTATGTGTTTATGTTGGCTGTGTGCCAGGAACTGTAATATGGACTTAATAGTATCCACTTCAATGCTTGCAACAACCCACAGAAGTGGGCATCAGAATTGTGTTTGTTTAACATGCATCACAAACTAGCGGGATGAGCCAGTGATGTCCACTCATATGAAATATCAAAATATTCTCCTTTTTGAGGGAAGTAGATACCAGTCATAATGAGATTTTACTTCAAAAAAGTTTAGTAACATACAAGAACAGAAATAGAAACCTAAATGTTTAGAGAACTTTTATTCATTTACCATTTATTCATTTAAATACTGATATGAAACCATAATATTAAAGGAAAAATGAACTGTAGAACCTTGATCCTGTGTAATTATTAATTATAATTTCTCTCACCTGTAAAAGGCTTTACCTAAGTATCTTTATACCCAGTTTTATGAGTAAACACTCTAGTTGAAACAGAAAATATGAGTATTTTGGTATATTACTTAGGAATTAGGAAAGACACAGGTATACTCATATAGGGTAAAAAGAACAGGATAGAAAGGAGAAAGAAGAGTGAGGTTTATGAAAGTAGGTGAAGGAGAATGAGGTCAAGAGGGGAAAAAACAGAAAAGTGGAATTAGCATTAGTTAAAAAGGTCTGGAGTCCAGCAAGTAGTATGAGGAGTTAAGCAGCAGTGAAAAAGTGTTTAATTTCAGAGAAAGAATAGAGTGAAAGGGAAATGGCAGAATAAGGGCAAGAGAACGTAAAGACTCTTATCAAGACACCGATGAGAATTCCTAAAATAAAAAATGTGACCTAGAATCAATTGGTATTTTTAGTTTAATGGTTACCTGAGAAAAATGCTACTGACAATTGTTGAATAAAGGTCACTCAATATTTAATTTTGGAATCCCTTTTAAAATTTATTTTGAATCTGGAATTTTTTAGAAATCTAATATTGATTAAAGCATGACTTGTAATTAGCATCAAGTATTTTGTGAGTTTTAAGTATGCCAATTGATGGTACACATTTAGCACGCTACTCTCAACTTCTCGTAAGTCACTCCTTATTTGAAAACATGCCCATTCACACACACACACAAAAAAAATCACAATGCCTTGTTTCCTGGATATTTAAAATTCTAATAATTTTAGAGATCATGTAAAGTAGTCATGGGTAAAAATGAAGCTACAGTAACTATAAAAATGCAAATCCCACTGGTTATTTCCCTATGTGGCTCTTGTAGAATGTCAAATATTTATGAAGGCCTTGGAGGGTGTCTTCCATGTACATGGAGGCATCTTATGTCTTGCAGGTTGCAGCTGCTGCTTCCCTACCTTCCTCTGCAGACCCACTGGAAATCTCCATGTCCTCCTGTCACCTCTTCTCTTGCTACACCATAGGCCATGAAACTTTCAAAATGTTAAAGTTGTACTGTGTTCCAGTATGAGGTAGGCAAAAATTCCTTTCTCATAATTTCTTCCACTTCAGTTAGAGAGCTGATCAATAAGTACTGCTTGTTCCACAATAAATATTAAAGTTTTGGAAAACTTTAGTTTGATTTTTATTTTCACTTTATTTCTGCTTCTGTATTCCTACTTTTCTGCATTTTGTCAGATAAATCTCTTGAGAATCATCAGGCTGTTTTTAGCTTCACCTGGAGGATAGACCTTTATTCCTTGGTCAAACTTATTGAGACTTTATTTTCTCTGATTGATTTTATTCTCAGAAAACCCACTGATATTGCATGAAAATAAACTTCTGGCCAGTTCATTCAGCCAGCTTGCCAGCCCAGCCCAGCAGAGGTTCAAGCTGAGATTTCTGCTATGGTTTAAAGAAAAGTGATGATGGTAGTGATGATAAATTTTAACCAAGAGCTTTGCCTGTGTCAACAGTGTTTCAAAGATACATATGAGTGCAAAAATTTTAGAGGCAGAAACAATATTTTTTCGATTTTTATGTTTTAAGCAGAAAATAATCTTTATTTTTTCTTGTCTCAAGCCATTTACTTTTGGCTAGTTTATCCATACACTATGTAAAGGCCAAGTATACAACACCTGTTTAGAAAATTGCCCTGGAGCGTTCCCTGTTTTCACCCAGTGCATTTCAATGATTCTGACCTCCCTCCCTTTCAAATTTTGGATTCAATTCTTGCTTCGAAATCTGCTTTAAATTTTAACAACAATTTCACTCTTCTACATTTGACTTAATAGTTTTTACCTTCCTACCTGGATTTTGGCTTGCTCTGCTGATTTTGTTATTCCTACATTTTTATGGAAGAAAAAACAAATATTAATAACTCTTTCCTCTTCCATCCTTAGTTCCTCAACTTCACTGCCAGTGGCCTGGAGAAAAAGGGTGAGATAGTAGTTTACAAAATAATTAAACCGCCTAAATTAGTAGGTAATAAAGTCAGATTCTAGGACGGTTATAGGATTTTTCCAGAGTGTTTAGATGCCAAACTCCATGAAGGTAAAAACTATTGTCACTAATTATTTGTATCTTCTAATGAGTCAACAGTTTACTCACAGATAAGGTAACCTTATTCAATTTGAAATTGACAGAAATTATTAGTGGTAAAACCAAGACATGAGATTTGGGTGGGGACACAGCCAAACCATTATCGGTGAGTAAGGAAGATTTAGGGTTAACTGGCCTCATTTGAGCATGAATCAATTAAAAATTGTGATAGAGCAGGGACAAGCATATCTGACATCCCATGGCATGTAGGAATGAAATATCTAATTGAGCTGTCACCTCTACTCAGCTGGAATAAAATGCCTGATGAAGGTATCACTTTCAGGGTTTAAGTTACTTTTGACCTTAGAACAGAATGAGGGCATGAAGAGTACAAAAGCTATGCAGTAGAATCCTGTTTTTAATAGCATTAAACAAGTTAGATAAAATGACAAATACAAGAGCCTAAATTCTCAATTTATAGCAGAGACTAAAACTGAAGGATTTTCTATGACTGTACAAGAAAAATATAAGAAAAAAAAGCTCTTACCTGGTTATTACATTGAAAATACATGTTAATTCTGTAAAATTTCAAATTTTAATGTCTGATTCATAAATTCACAGATATTTAAAGTGAAAATATGACACTGACGATAAATGAGTAGATCATTGATAATTATGACAGAAAGAAAGATTTCAAGGACTTTCAGTTCCCTTTCTAACCAGTATGAGCATCCGTTATTGGATGAAGCAGTACCTTCTCTCCTATCACATCAGATTCTTACCTCCTTTCTGGCAGATGCTATAATTTCTTTATTTTAGCAAGTTTCTTACAAAAGAGAGTGGATTTTTTCTCATGTTACAGACCTCAAGTCCTCATTTCTCCTAAATTACTTGGGACTCAACATGCTTTATATTTCCAGTCACAAAGTCAAACTCTTGCAGAGAATTCTTATACATTAAAATAATTGCAGGACCTTTCCAATTTATATCAGCAGATATCAGAGAAATATCTAGAAATTGATACCGATTTATTTTTATTGCAAAATAATTTAATTTTAGATTGAGATAATTTGCTATTATGTTCAAGGAGTAATTCTAACTATTCATTTAATTGGATTGTAGTTTAGATGTAAAGAAACTATGCTAACTAAAGATAAATGCCAGAAACATTTCAGTAAAATTAGCAGTGATTTCACAAATTTTAGTGTTCTTCAGAATATCTTTGTTAATAGATATTCTCAGAATCTATTATGGAAAATCTAATTTATTAAGAACAGACTGAGGTTTAGAAATAGGCATTTTAATGAGCATTTCATAGAATTATGTGGTTAGAGGATCAAACTTTGAAATCAATCAAATGTTTGGTAATAGGAATGTTTACACAATGTGTTTTACAGGTGATCAACCTGTATATATCCCATATTTTTTTCCCTGAGAGTAGCTAGAAGATAGTTTTCTTTGAGAAATACAGTGGTGAAAGAGTCTTGAGACGCTTTGAAAATGTCTTGGTCACTTTTCTCTGTACACTGTAAATTCTGGTTAGAGATGCTTCAGATCTGATTTCATTAGCAATGGGAGGATTCTGTTGTTTCAGACATAAGGGAAGTCCCTTCAGTTAGCAAATGTAAAGTGGCATAATTGTCTGCATGTATGGCAGGTCCCACAGAGACACCAGAATAGTTTCGTCCGTAGTGAACATCTCAAGGACCATAGTAGTTAAGAAGTTGACTGAAATTTTACCTCATTTGTATGACACGTGTCCCCTAAACAAAATTGGACTGCTTTGACTCACCATAATAAAAAGTTGCATCACACCAAAATCCCACATTCTTATTCTCTACAAAAAGGAATGTTGAATATTATAGAACCAGTAATAACATCATAAATACATTCAGTGAGTCTTCCTCACAGCTCACTTCAGAGAGCATTATCACTATTTACCAAGGTAACTGTGCTCTAAATTAGGCTCATTTTAGGAATTTTTCTAATTTATTTTCTCCATCTTGGAACCCAGAATGCTACTGCAGAATTTTAGTATTATGGATGTCTATGGAGTCAGCCAAAACAACAGTGTTTCCAAATATTTGTACGGTTTTTGAAGTGTCTGCTCAAATCAGCACCATGTTTATTATCTCAATATCTGGGTATATGTTTGGAATTGATATCTCAACATCATGCAGAATCTCCATTGTTCTCCCTCCACTACCTATGGGGTAATACCTGTTGTAGTAGGAAGAGCCAAGAGGAAGCCCCTGGAGCTCTCTGTACCTAGAAAAACAATAAAGAACACCACGCTATACTGGTTGAGTGGCAGATACTAATGTTACCACAAATTGAAAGTTGTAGGCAGATGATGCTTATTCTATTTAAATTTCTGGTTTGACCTGTGTAGACAGCAGGTAGTCACAAGATATGGACTGGGGAAGGTAGATTGCTATAGGAAACATTACTGTTGAAATGGAGAACAGCAGCCAGACCTATTTTTCTAGAATACACAAAGGTGTTCCCTATTACAGTGTACAGCCACTTTACTCTAGACTTCCTAGTAGCCACTTTGTATATCTCTTGGGTGATATTTATTATTGCTGTGTTTTTCTGAGGTAAGATTGTCTTGGAGAATCCTCAGTCCAGGGCTTGGTATTTCATGTACCATTCATTGAGGAAAGGTGTAGGGCCTCAGACAAAATCCTGAAACTGAGAAGAAATTCCTGTCTTTCACTGTACTTTAGGCTTGGTTGTTGAAGAATAAAATGGTGTAGAAAGTACTGGAAATCAGGGGAAAGAAGGACTTGTTCACAGGAGAGGACAAATTGGTAACTTGGAAGGGTGTCTGCCTTACAGAGGACCACATGTTCTAGATGAATAAACTAGATGAATGAAATATACCTGTACACTAGAGGACATGGTATATTAAGTTTCTTTCTGCAAGCTTTTTCGTTGTTATTTCTGATTCTTTCAAAGCTGTTTTCATTTTCCATCTGAGGTCTTCCCCACTTCCTACCCATGAGGATAATGCAGTAGCTACCACATTGTCTACCTAAAAATATCTGGAGGATAACTTAATCATATAGTAGGAGTGGAAAACAACACCAGAAATTGATACCCTCAAAATGTGGAGGAAGGGGAGTTAGGTCAGATATTATCAGAATCTAGGATTGCATCTTAGTTTAGTAACTTTTAAAGTAATTCTTATACTCTTTCCACCATCCCTATGTCCCAGATACTTGCCTCACTGGAGTGGTACAGAAAAGGGAGGCTAATGCTTTCCTAAACAAGTCAGAGTGTTAAGTGGCTTGCAAACTTTCTCCTTAAACCAGCAGGATAGTAGCTGATACTTACAAAGTATCCTTATGTCAGCTAGGGTTCAACCACTGAAACAGAACCAGTAAAAAATATACATGTTAAGAGATTTATTAAAAAAAACTGGCTTACATTTGTGAAGGCTGGCAAGGCAACTTGTATTTATTTGTAGACCAACTGAAATTGTAGAGAAGACTGTCAGGGCAGGCTAGAACTCTAAAGCAAGGGCTTGACATGCTGTCTATCCTCAGAATCTAATCCTCATAAAAGCCTTGGTTCTGCTCTTAGCGTATTTCAATTGATTGAATTAGGTCTACCGAGATTATTTAGTATAATATTCTTAGAGTCAATTAACTATGGATTTGAATCATATCCACAAATACCTTTACATCAACACCTAGATTAGTGTTTGCTTGAATAGTGGGACTACAGTTTAGACAAGTTGACACATAATCCTGACCCTCACAATCCCCAAATTGAACCTTGGCAACAAGTATGATTCCACATTTCCTTATGTGGAGATTTTCATTGCCAACATTAGCTGAAGGGTTTTGATTGATGAAGATTTAGAGTAAGGGTTTTGTCCCCCCCATACTATATTTTGTTTGTAGGAAAGTATCTACAGTTTGTAACATTTGATTTAGTGCACTTAATTATATTTTGAAGGAAAAAGAAATCTGGAATAAGAGGTCCAGAAGATTTAAATAACAGACCCAGAGCAATTTCCCAGGTAGATGAACCAGATCATTTAATAGCACTGGTTTATATGACTTCCTATAATTTAGTGTATAAAAAAATGCCCATTATAGAAATTCATTAGGGTTGTTTGAACGTATAAAGTGGTTGATTCAACGTTTCTGAGTTTTGCTTCCCCGTTGTTCTCAGCATAAAGGGGTCCAAGTACTTAAATAAAAAATTCATGGCTTTCTGTATTACAGGTTTTATGTTGTGTGACTCTGCCACATAATGATATACTGTTAATGTCTAAAAATCTCGTAGCACTAATTTCTTTATAAATTAAGTCATAATCATTTAAATTGAAACTAACTACTTATACTCTTTCCTTACCTAACTCTTAAAGATGTGACACCGGACTATGGCAATACCAAGGTGTTCAATTTACACCATGCTAATGAAGCTTAGAGGTTTTGTTAGAAAGTTGATGTTCTCAATGCCACCAGCTGTAGTTCCAAGAACAGGGAAGTGATTCCTGGGCTATGTTCTGTTAAAGGTATAATAATTATTACCTTGTGAACATTAATGTCTAAATATTCTCTGTAGGAAGTTGATGATCGTAGGGCAGGGTGAAAGAAACCTTAAAAATATTTTTGGAATCCATCCACTTTACTCTCTCTCCACAGCCTTCACCCTTATCAAATCCACATTCATCTCTCAGCTGAGCTACTGCCTTCTCACTCTTACCTTTGCATCCACTAAAATTTAAATACGATCATGCGAATACTGTCCAGAGTTGTTAGAATAAAGGCCAATATCTTCAACATAAATTTAAAACACTTGCTTGATTTGGCTCCCTTCTCCTTCTGAAATTTTACCTTGCCAATGCCCATTTAAGATAAGTTGGCCTCTTGTTAGCGATGTACTTTTCTTTATAGTAGAAGTTTGCATGCAAAAACTACTAGATCATAAATACCTCAAGGAAAATCATCCAAAATTACAAACAAATATCACATGTATGTCACATTCAGATACATCCTATTGAGTATGTTATTTTCAATTTCATCCTGTGTGGAGGACTGTGCAAAGATTGAATTAATCATACCCTTCAGTTTATGACATACATCTTCATTACGTCTTAAATGTCTTATTTTTCTTGTTTAGCTCTCTCTTCCATTTTTTTTGCCCCAATAGAAGACTATTCAATGTGTTGTTATGCATTTTTTAATCTGTCAGTCAATCTGTCTAGATCTATCTAGTATCATTGAATCTATAGTAATATATAGGGCTTTTTTCATGTCTGTATTTTTTAATTTTATAATGATATGATTTAATACTCTTTTGCCTTTTAAGACTTTTCAGTTTTTTAAATTTTTAAATTTGTCTATATTTAGGGGGTACAAGTGCAGATTTTTCATAAGCATATAAATGGGTAGTGGTGGGCTTTTAGTGTACTCATCACCCAAATAGTGAACATTGTACTGAACAGGTAATTTTCAATCCTTATCCCTGTCCTCCAATCCCACCTTTTATAGTCTCAAATGTATATTACTCTATTCTGTATGTTCATGTGTACCCATTACCATCTCCAACTTATAAGTAAGAACACACGGTATTTGACTTTGTTATTTCACTTATGATAATGGCCTCCAGTTTCATCATGTTGCTACAAAATACATTATTTTATGTTTTATGGCAGAGTAGTATTCCATGGTGTGTGTGTTGGGGGTATGTGTGTATATATGAGAAAATGTGATATATCCAATCATCTGTCCAATGGACATTTAGGTTGATTCTATATCTTTGCTATTGTGAATAGTGGTGTGATAAACATGTAAGTGCAGATATCTTTTCGATATAATGATTTTTTTCCCCTTTGGGTATATACCCAGTAGTGGGATTGCTGGGTCAAATTATAGTTCAATTTTAAGTTTTTGGAGAAATCTTCATAGTGTTTTTCATGAAGTTGTACTAATTTACATTACTACCCACAGTATATAATCCTTCCCTTTTCTCTTCAACCTCACCAACTCTTATTTTCTGACTTTTAAGATAATAGTTCTTCTGACTTATGTGAGACAGTTTATCTTTGTAGTCTTAATTTGCATTTCTTCAATAATTAGTGATGTTGAGTATTTTTTCATGTTGGCCACTTTTATGTCTGAAGTGGTGGACAGTGCCTACTTTTTACTGGGGTTATTTGTTTTTTTGCTTGTTGAGTTCCTTGTAGAATCTAGTTATTAGACCTTTTATGGATATATAATTTGCAAATATTTTTTCCAATTCTGTGAGTTGTCTGTTTACTCTGTTGATTCTTTTTTACTGTGTTTAATCTCTTTAAGCTCCATTCATCTATTTTTGTTTTTGTTACATTTGCATTTGAGGATTTGGTAATACTCTTTGCCTAGGCCAATGTCCAGGAGATTTTCCTAGATTTTCTTCTAGAAATTTTACAGTTTCAAGTCTTACATTTAGGTTGTTTGGGGTTAATTTTTGCATATAATGAGAAGTATGGGTCTAGTTTGATCATTCTGCATATAGCATATGACTTCCCAATTTTTACAGCACCATCTGTTGAACAAGGTATCCTTTTCCCAGTGCATATTTTTTATGACTTTGTCAAAGATCACTTGGTTGCAGGTATGTGGATTTTGTTTCTGGGATCTCTGTTCTGTTTCATTGATCTATGTATGTTTCTTGTACAAGTGCCCTACTGTTTTGATTACTATAGCCTTGTAGTATAATTTGAAGTCAGGTAATGTACAGACTCCAGCTTTGTTCTTTTTGCTTAGGATTTCTTTTGCTATTCAGGAGCAAGAAATCATATTTGGTTCCATATGAATTTTAGGATTTTTTTTCTAAATCTGTGAAATGCAACATTAGTAATTTTATAGGGATTGCATTGAATCTGTAGATTGCATTGGGCAATGTGGTCATTTTACCAATATTGATTCTTCTGATCTATGATCATGGGATATTTTTCCATTTGTTTGTGCCATCTATGGTTTTCTTCATTAGTGATTTATAATTCTCCTTATAGGGATCTTTCACTTCCTTGGTTAAACTTATTCCTAGGTATTTTGCCTTTTTGTAGCTATTGTAAATGGGACCGCCTTCTTGATTTGGTCTTCAGCTGGATCATTATTTGTGTGTATACATGTTACTGATTTCTGTTCCTTAATTTTTTTTTTAATCCTGAAACTTTACTGAACTTTACTGAAGTGGTTTTTCTAGATATAAGATCATATAGTCAGTGAACAGGGGTAATTTCACTTCTTCTTTTCCATTTTGGATGCATTTTATTTTCTTCTCTTGCCCAATTTCTCTGGCAAGGTCTTCCAGTAATAAGAGTAGAGAAAGTCGACATACTTGTCTTGTTCCAGTTCTCATTCAACTTTTTTCCAATAGGTATGATGTTTGCTGACAGTTGGTCATATATTGATCCTCTACTATGTTAAAGTATGTTCCTTCTATACCTAGTTTGCTGAGGATTTTTATCAGGAGGGATGCCAAATTTTATAGAATACTTTTTCTGCATCTATTTAGATGATTATATGATTTTTATCTTTATGTGATATATCACATTTATTCACATATGTCAAAACATGCTTGCATCCCTGGGATAATTCCCACCTGACCATGATGCATTATTTTATGTGCTGATGGATTTGATTTGCTAGTATTTTGTTGAGAATTTTTGCATCTACGTTTATCAGGGATATTGGTCTCTAGTTGTTTTTTTTTTTTTTCTCTGTGGGGGTGTATCCTTCTCTGGTTTTAGTATCAGGGTAATACTGGCCTCAGATTCAGTTGGGAGAATTCCTTCTTCCTTGATTTAAAAAATACAGTTTTGAGAATATTAGTGTTAGTTCTTTGTATGGTTGGTGGAATTAAGCTGTGAATTTCATCTGGTCCTGGATTTGTGTGTGTGTGTTGGGAGATTCTTTTATTACTAATTCAACCTTGCTAATTATTATTGGTCTCTTCAGGAGTCCTATTTCTTTCTGGTTTATTCGCAGGAGGTTGTGTGTTTGCGGGAATTTATCCATTTCTTCTAGGTTTCCTTGTTTGTGAGCATGTAGTTGTTCATAATCATCGATCTTTTGTATTTCTGTAATATCTATTGTAATGTCTCTTTTTACATTGCTGATTGTATCTAGTGGTTTATCAATTTTGTTTGTCTTTTTGAAGAACCAACTTTTGGTTTCATTGATCTTTTGTATTATCTTTTTTTTGGTCTGTATTTCATTTAGTGCTATTCTGATTTTTGTTATTTCTTTTCTTCTGCTAACTTTAGGTTTGGTTTTTTCTTGTTTTTTCAATTCCTTGAGTCATCACTTTAGGTTAATTTGTGGTCTTTAAGATGTTTTGATGTAGGCATTTAATGCTGTAGACTTTTCTGTTAACGCTGCTCTTGTTGTATCTCACAGGTTTTCATATGTTGTTTTCATTTTTAATTTTTTAAAATTTCCATATTAATCTACTGAGTGATAGTTCAGGAGCATGCTGTTTAATTTCCAAGTATTTGTATAATTGTGAAAATTTCCCTTAGTATTGATTTCTAGTTTTATTCCACTGTAGTCTGATAAAATACTTCATATAATTTTGATTTTTTTTAATTTTATTAAGACTTTTTTTGTGGCCTAACATGTGGTCTATCTTGGAGAATGTTCCAAGTGCTGATAAAAAGACTGTGTATTGGCCAGGCACGGTAGCTCACGCTTGTAATCCCAGCACTTTGGGAGGCTGAGGCGGGCGGATCACAAGGTTAGGAGATCCGGACCATCCTGACAACATGGTGAAACCCCGTCTCTACTAAAAATAAAAAATTAGCTGAGTGTGGTGGTGCACACCTGTAGTCCCAGCTACTTGGGAGGCTGAGGCAGGAGAATCGCTCGAACCTGGGAGATCAAAGTTGCACTGAGCCGAGATTGTGCCAGCCACTGCACTCCAGCCTGGTGACAGAGTGAGACTCTGTCTCAAAAAAAAAAAAAAAAAAAAAAAAACAAAAAAAAAAAAACAACACTGTGTATTCTGTATTTGTTTGGCAGAATGTTTTGTAAATATCTGTTAAGTCCATTTCGTCTAAAGTCCAATTGAAGTCCAATGTTTCTTTGCTAATTTTCTGTCTCAATGATCCATCTAGTGTTGCGGGTGGGGTGCTGAAGTTTCCCACTATTATTATATTGTTGCCTATCTCTCTCTCTTTAGGTCTAGTAATATTTGTTTTGTGAACTTGGGTGCTCCAGCGTTGGGTGTATACATATTTAGGACTATTATATCTTTTGCTGAACTGATCCTCTTATCATTAAATAACTACCTTTTTATATTAATGTTTTTGATTTAAAGTCTGTTTTATGTGGTATAAGTACTATCCTGCTTGATTTTGCTTACCATTTGCATGGAATATCTTTTTTACCCTTTAATTTCAGTCTATGTCTTTACACGTAAGGTGATTTTCTTGTATGCAGCATATAGTTGGATGATTTTTTTTAGATCTGTTCTGCCAATCTGTATCTTTTAATGGAACACTTAATCAATTTACATTCATAATTAATATTGATATTAATTGTTTTTCAGTTGTTTTATAACTTTTTTCCTTTATTTCCCTCTTTTTGTCTTGGTGGATGGATGAAATTCTGACGTATTGCCATTTGATTATTTTCTCTTCCTTTGTGCAGTTGTTTTATACATACTGTGAGTGTTATATTTCTGTGTATTTTTCTAATAATTAATATTGGCCTTTTGTTTCGTTAAGACCTCTGACCATCATTTTCTTTACTGTGATGGTGACAAATTATTTCAGTGTCTGGCTGTGTGGAAAAGATTTCTCCTTTATTTATGAAAATTATCTTTGCAGGATATAAAATTTTTGATTGACAGTTTTTTTCTTTCAGCACTTTTGAAAATTTCATTTCATTCTCTTCTGGGGTGTGAGAGTTCTGCTGAAAGGTCTGCTTAGTATGATGGGGTATACTTTATAGATGACTAGATGCTTTTCTCTTGCTAATTTCATTATTTTTTATACTTTGACTTTAGCCATTATGATCATAATATGCCATGATGAAGTCCTTTCTGCGATATATTTTCCTGGGAATTACTGAGCCTCCTGTATCTTCATATCTGACACTCTTGATAGATTTGGGATGCTTTCATTGATTATTTCCTTAAATATGTTTTCTAAACATTTTGATTGCTCTTTCTTCCTGGAAATATCAATAACGCATAAGTTCTGAGGTTTTATGTAGCCCTATGTGTCTCAAAACCTTTGTTCATTCATTTTTATTCTATTTTTAAAAATATTTTTCTGACTAGATTATTTCAAAATACTTCAAGTTTTGAGATTTTTTCTTCTGCGTGGTCTAGTTTATTACAGAAGCTTCCCAATGTATTTTGTAGGGCTTTCAGATAATTTTTTTGTTCCAGAATTTCTGCTTTTTAAAAAATTTGTAAGATATCTGTGTCCTGGGTAAATTTCTCATTCATATTCTGAATTGATTTTCTGATTTCTTTACATTGGTTTTGAAGTTTCTCTTGCATCTCAATGCAAGAGTAATTTGAAAACCAATGCAAAGCTTCTTTGAAATCAATATTTTAAATTCCTTATCTGGCATTTTGAGGAATTCTTTTTGATTGGGATCTGTTGCTGGGCAATTGTTGTGGTCCTTTGGTGGTGTCATATTTCTCTGTTTTTTCTTCAGTATCAGTGTGTCCTTTCACTGATATATGCTTATCTAGTGTAGCAGTTGCTTTTCCAAATTTTTAAAACTGCTTTTGTAGGGGGTAATTTTTTTCTGAAAATGTATGCATGTTGTCAGTTGAGTAGGATATTTTGGCTTTGATTTTGGCTTCCTTTGGTAGTATAATCTTTGTATGATGTCTTCAGCAGTACACAGCAGTACACATTGCAAAAAGGGTCAGTGGTATCTGTGATTTCCTCCATGGCTCAGAGTATAGTTATCACTTGAGCTTGCATTGAAGTTTTGTTCAGCAGTTGGACACAAACTGAGCCAGTCTTTAGGCCCCAGTGGTAGCAGCAGTGGGACAAATGTGCCTGATTTTAGGCCTCAGAGCAGTTTACATTGCTCTGATGTTAGTGAGTCCTGGAAGGTTGATGCTTGAACCTCCAGGCAACCTGCCTCAAATACAGGAGTGGGAGTTGGGGGGCAGGTGTTCGGGCAGTTTTTCAGTATCTGGACAGCTAGTATGATGTGGGTGATGGCAGTAGTGGTGGCGGAGCAGCCCACTGGGACTCAAGTGTTTCATGTTCATGTTCCTGGGAGGTGAAATGGATTGGGCAGGCTAGTCCCCGTCCCACAGCTACCTGTAGAAGAGCAGTGGGTATTGTCCTAAGTGTTCTTAGCTCCCCTGTGCCTCCCCTATATGGATGGTACCTGTAGTCACACTACTTAGTACTTGGCTCAAGAGTAAGCACATACCAGAATTAAACTCTCAAAACACTAACAGCTGTAAGCTTGTCACCAGAGAGGGCAGAGCCCCCCTCAGATGAGCAGCATGGGCAAGCATGTGGGGAGTGTGGCTCACTCAAGTCTTGGTCTCACAGTAGCCAGTAGCAGAGCAGTGGATTTTGTCCTAGGTATGCATAGGAAAGCCTGGTTTTGTGTCCTCCTTTGGCCTGGCAGTGGCTGCAGCCATATCAACTCGAATTTGACCCAAGGACAGGGTGCAGCTCAGCATTAGAGTCTCAAAATGGTGCCTTGGTCTTGTGACAAGGGAGGCTAGGGCCCTTCCCAGGCAGGCAGTGTGAGCAGGAAGCTATGGGGGGTGCAGTCTGTCTCACAGAAGCCCATTGCAGGGAAATGGGTATTGTTCTAAATGTGTATAGAACAGCCTGTTTTCCTGTCTCTCCTTGGGCAGGTGATGTGGCTGCAGCTGCACCATTCTGAACTCAGCCTGAGGGCAGGGGGCAACGTAGCCATAAACTCTCAAAATGGTGCCTCGAGACTGGGACCACAGAGGGCAGGGTCCCTCCCATGTGGCAAGCAGCATGGGCAAGGAGCTGTGAATAGTGTGATTCAGGTCTCAGTCTTAACAGCAGGCTGTAGCAGGGTGGTACGGACCCTCCTGGGGATATGTGGGAGCACCCAGTCTCCTTTCTCCTTCCTTGGAGCAGTTTAGCAGCAACAGCCATGTCTGTAGATCTCTGGTATTTAAGCTCCCAAAATGGCACCCCGTTGAGGCTGCTCTAGGCTTGGATGCCTGTGGGATTCCTTGTGGGTTCCCTTTCTGCAGCAGCGTCTCTGTGCAATCTTTAGGCAGTTCTGTATGTCAGGAACAAGGCCCTAGTGAGTGGAGGGTTTCTCTTGTAGCGAAGATTGTAGAAGCCCGTTTTGGATTGTGGAGCCCTGGGGATTTCTCTCTCACTATTTGCCTGTATTCAGAAATCTCTCCTGGCCCGCAGTCAGTCCCTGGACCAGGCAAGCTGCCTCAAGCCCTTTCCTTACTTCTGGTGCTTCCTGTCTTTTCTCTGGTGATCATGTTGTTCTCTCCTCTCAAGTTTACTTTGTGTACAGGGAAGGGTTGAAGAGGGCAACTTGAAATTAACTCCAGCTCTTGGGATTACAAGAAACCTAATTCATTTTAACTGCTGAAATCTAGATCTGCCAACACTGGGCAAATACAAGAGCTACTTACTCCAGGCTTCAGTTTTAACTTCCCGCTACCATCTAAAATATGTTTTGGTATGTATAAATTTATTCATTTTAAACTAAACTTTTATTTGATAACCTGAAACTTGTATGTGTCTGATCATTGATGTATAACTTCCAGAATCCTCCATTATATCTGCTTTCCTTAAGATTGTCATAGTTTTCTGTCTGCCTGGAATTTTGGAACCGATCTTCCAGCCCCATAGAACTTTCTTCCCTCCCACATTTCTAAACTTGATTTAATATCTTATGCATCTCTCAGCCTTTAACTCAAAAATCTGCTTCCTAGGAAGTCTTTGGTGCCTCTCAGATCAAATGATGTCTCCCTTATATGTGTTATCACTGATCTACTTTTCCTTTGTCTTTATTTTCACACCATAATTAAGTATTTATGTACGTTTATCTTCAACCTACAATGTAAGCTTCACTGGGGCAAGGTGCAGATATTGTTCTTCTTATCCTTAAGGCCTAGTTGTTTTTTTGAGCTGTTAGTATGTGCTTAATAAATAAATGTTGAATGAATTAATGAGAAAGGCACAATTTTATAGAACGCAAGAGTCATTGTTCAGTTACTTTAAGAAAATGCTTGCCTGAAGGTAGGAAAGTAGACATGCCACTAGGGCAGTATTTTCTTTTGAAGTGCTTGATTATGTAAAGTGATGAAAAATAGAAATTTGAAAGGATTGGGTTAATACTTTCCAGAGATGTATATACAAGCACAGAGTTAGTCTTAAATTGATTTTCATGTATATAAAGTTGCTGGGAGTTGTCTAGTCACCTCTGTGATCATGGTAATTAGGTGACAGATGGAGTCTTGGTCTATATAAATCTCAGGATAAGCCCAGTTGATCCATGGACCTATCCTGTGGTTATTTTCTATGCCCCAGAATGTAGAGTAGGAATAGATACTAAATTACAGAATCTCCAGTTGATTTCTTAATGTATCAGTGGGGTACCATGGTAGGAAGGATCTCTGGAATTGTCACCTGCCATGCCTTAACTGTCATCTTAGCCATATTGAAACCAAAGGCAATAATGCATCCCTGGGGGAATTTCAGAGAATATTCTTCCACCAGCAGTGTCAAAACTGCATGGGTAGTGAGATTCTGGCAACTATTGTCATTGTTTCAGTTATTTATTTTATTTCATTTTGCTTCTTTTTATTACTTCTCTTTTGCTCCTTTTTTGTTTTTAATAATTTCAACTTTTATTTTAGATATGGGGGTACATGTGCAAATTTGTTACATGGGTATATTGAATGATGCTGAGGTTTGGGGTACAGATCACATCACCCAGGTAATGAGTACAGTATCTAACAGGTAGTTTAGAACCCATGTCCACCTCTTTCCTTCAGCCCTCTAGTAGTCCATAGTGCATTGCCCCAGTGAAACTTACAATATCTATTGTTCCCTTCTGGGGCTTGTGAGAAAGTCAAATAACTCTTGGAAAATGACTAGGTAATTTTAAATTCATTCAATCAATTATACTAGTCACAGCTACTATTCCATACTGATATCAACAAAATACTGTTATGTAGCTATTGATCTAAGAAATGATTTATACTCTGTGCAATCAGTAAAGACATCAGAAACAGTTTGTTTTTATCTCTTCAAGAATAACAGTACACTAATACTGTCTTAGCTCAGGGTTATATCAACTGTCATGCCTTCTGTGATGACTTAGCCTGAAGAAGTTTGATCATCTTGTTATCCTTCAGAATGTCACCTTTTTCTAATATATTGATGCTCTTATGCAAACTGAACCTGGCGAGCAGGAAACTGGAAACATCCTTGATACCCTAGAAAACAGAGTACTAGAATTTGTGAGAAATGTCAGGGGTATGCCATATATTTGGAGATTCTAGGGGTCCAGTTTTCTGGGCACGTCATAAGATCCCCTTTAAAGTGAAAGACAAGTTGCTGCTTTTTGAGCCACCCATTAGGTTGAAAAGAGAAATGTTTAGATTTTAGAGGGAGGAGTATAATCCTCTAATTCATTTACCAGATAGTCTATAATACTGCCAGTTTTAGCAGCGCCAGAGCAAAAAAAGGATTTGTATCACATCCAGGCTGTGATGCAAGCACCTATACCACTTGGGTCATGTGTTCCAGCAGCCTAGATTGTGCCTTAGCAGTCTATACCATAACGAGATACAGTCTGAAGCCTTCAGCAACTCCCAATAGAAGAATCACAGTGAAGACCCACAAATGTTGAAATAAGGTCATGGTATATTCTATATTCTGCTGACAAAAATTTTACATTTAGCAAAATAGTTTCTATCTTGCAATTGCATCAAGATAGAGCCATAGTGCCTGATCATAGAAAATTAAATGAATGTGAAACCCAAGATGCCCAATATTAAATGTGAATTTGATCCACTCAATCAGAAAGTTGGACATAGAAAGATAAACTTTCTATTAAATGAAAGTTGTATGTTATGAATGTACCCAAGGAAGTCTTGAAGGCACAAGCAAGTTGGATACAAATATTGCTCATATTCATATGTTACCTGCTCCCTGCTCTAAACACTTCACTACTTCTCTTTATACCTAAATGTGTGGCCTCATGTGGAGTTTCCTGTGTTGAGTTAACAGGGGGCCTAGTTAACCATGTGTAGACTTGGCATATAAATAAGTCTGCATGGCATTTAGCCCTGCTGGAAGTACATAGTGCTGCACTACAACCTCACTTACAGGTAACCCTAATAGTATGAAAAGGAAACTTGCCAGTGAGAAGAACTTTGGGCAAAGTATCTGGGTTTCCACCGTCTAGAATGAGAGATGGCTTGGAGTGTAGGGATCCTCACGGACTCATGAAAAGTGATTAATGGGTTGCCCAATTTCCCGAGGACTTGGAAAGGACAGCCTGAAGTCTGGTTACAAGGGAGTTTTCCAGACAGGAATTTACAGAATAGGTAGACTATGAGTATATCTGTATTCATGTAAATTCCCACTGAAGATTTTCCAGGGCAGAGAAGCTTATCAACAATCAGGTTAAAAAGCTGACCCATTCTCTACACGTAAGCAAGCCTCTTGTAGCGGTCTGCAATGGGCTTTCACTGATGACATTCACAGGTTGTTTCCTGGGCTCCATTACTCAAAAGCATATGGATTGTTAGAACTATAGAAAGGTTTGTTGGTATCAATTACAGAGCAAGCTGCAGAATAACAACTAATTATATTGGTGTGCCTTCTCAAAGGGTATAATGTATGCCTTAAAGCCAGTTTAAGGTGTGACCTTTTGCAAATTTCCCAGTTTTCAAGGGTCCAGAACCTAAAGGTTAAGGTGTGGTGGCTCTTCTCATAATTATACTCAACAATCTACTAAAATTACTTTTCTTCCTATTCCCACAGTCTTGGACTTGGTGTGTTTGGACATAAAAGTGCTCCAGAAAAACTAATTCCTCTAGAAACATAGTTTGATTATTATCAGTTAGAAGCTGAGAGTGCACCCTGACAATTTTATTCTACTAAATTGGCATGCTTCTGAATCATTATACTGGGCAAGATGCTTGATACCCATAACCTAGAGTAAATTAGATTATGGCTGCATGATATAGCATGTAGGACTATGTCTGGAACCTGGAGAATCACTTGGGTGTAGCTCAGTGTTCCCATTTCAATAATAGTAATTAATAAAAAAACAGAAGTAGTCTCATGAAGAAAGGTCCTACGGGGACTTAGAAGTTGTAATGATAGAAGTTTGAGTTATTCCCCCAGGAAAGAAAAACACAAACAAAAACTTCACAACGGCCAGGCGCGGTGGCTCACACCTGTAATTCCAGCACTTTGGGAGGCCGAGGTGGGCGGATCACGAGGTCAGGAGATCGAGACCATCCTGGCTAAGACGGTGAAACCCCGCCTCTACTAAAAATACAAAAACAATTAGCCAGGCATGGTGGTGGGCGCCTGTAGTCCCAGCTACTCGGGAGGCTGAGGCAGGAGAATGTTGTGAACCCGGGAGGCAGAGCTTGCAGTGAGCCTGGATGGTGCCACTGCACTTCAGCCTGGGCTACAGAGCGAGACTCCGTCTCAAAAAAAAAAAAAAAAAAAAAAATTAAAAAAAAAAAAACTTCACAACTATTGGCAGTGTTGGTAGAAGGCAGCAGAAGATAGAACACACAGTATATAAAGCTATGATTACTCATTTGCGGCTTACTACCAGCTAAAAAGTGGGGACTGTAGCAGCTCTGTTCAGTGTTGACTATTTTTTGTCCTTTTTATTCTAAAAATGTATAGATAAGTACCAATTGTAGCTAATTGCTACTGATAAAATCATGCCCTGCTAGCTAGTATATGTTGGCTGATTAGACATTACATTTTCCTCCCTGGGGAAATGGGAAGTTGTTTACATGAATAAATTACAGGAATGTTGATAGTGATGAATGTTGAGTGGCAAAAGTAGTGGTGTACCCATAAGTTTTATACTGTTATTTTTAGCTTTGTGCCTAGAAAGATTAATCCCTGCAGATTGCAACATGTAAATGCTATAGTCCCTTGATTTCTGGAAAAAGACAAACAGAAGTTGAAAATATATAAAAGTAAAGAAAGATCAAGATATGACTCTTCCTTGCTATTTCATGCCTCTCTGTGGTTGGCCATAGTTTGGGCAACTGCTGTATTTACTGTACAGTTACGACTCATGTGGGTCAGTCTGTCTTCCTTGGCTCCTACCATTGACAATTCTTCTTTAGCGCCTTGTTCCATCAGGTCACTGGTGATAATGGTAATAATGGCTTCCCATTATTGATAGTCCTTGGGTACTTCACCATTTATTGTAGATTTCAAACTCTATGAGATGCCCCTTTATTAAATTCTGCTCATGGAGATCTTTAAGTGTGCCATTGATTTATGTCATTACTGTGACTGATATAACAGGATTTGTAATTTCTTCCAATTCTTATATTTTAAGTTTCTATAGGTCAGAGATAATTCTCATACAGTGTAGATATAAAATATAATGAGGTTTTAGAAATTTATGTGGCACAATTTAATTCTATGCCCTATACTATTGATTTTAAAATGCCATTCTTTATAATGCTGCAGATATTTATAATGCTGCAGATATTATGGTGTACACATATATAGTATTTAGATTTATTTTATACTGAGAAATGCAAAGCAATAATCTTATAAAAAGAAAGACTTTTTTTTTTTTTTTTTTTTTGAGATGGAGTCTCACTCTGTCACCAGGCTGGATGCAGCAGTGATGTGATCTCAGCTCACTGCAACCCTCGCCTCCGGGATTCAAGCGGTTCTCCTGCCTCAGCCTCCCGAGTAGCTGGGACTACAGGTGCATGCCACCATGCCCAGCTAATTTTTGTATTTTTAGTAGAGACAGGGTTTCACATTGTTGGCCAGGATGGTCTCGAACTCTTGACCTCATGATCTGCCTGCCTCGGCCTTCCAAAATGCTGTGATATAGGCATGAACCACCGTGCCCAGCCAAGAAATATATTTTTAAAGGAGGAGTAATTATAGGAAAATGTTGCCAAGTTGCTGAGGAGAATTTATCATTAGTTAAAAAATAATACCCCAAAGCCTCTAGAAAGTACAAATATGACTTTCATATGCATGAAGTCATGAACACATTATTCTTTTTCCTTTTTATAGTAGCACATCACAGAATCTTGTTCAGTCTCCCTTGTGACCGAGAGCAAACATGTCCCTTTGTCACCTAAAACATTTTATTCATTTCAAAATGGCCATGACACTGTGGCTATTTTAAGCCTCCCATTGTTTGTCTAAAATAGATTGTTCTGGCAGAGTGTATGTTCTGAAAATCATTTGCTTGGTGTGCTCATTACTTCATGTCAACTTTCAGAATGGCAATTTCTAACAATTTCTAAACATTCTTTTCCCAAACAGGTCAAGTGAATGATGCTATTTAAGTGTGTGGTTTGTGGACTATGAACTGTGAGGGAATAGGGCATTAGCATGGGTGAGGGGTAGGCAGACCACACTCATAAACCATACCAGTGTCATAGGATAAACCAAGTTTTATAGAAATGTAGAGAATGGTAATCAGGTATAAGGCCAACCAGTTCACAGTTCTTGCTAAGGTCAGGGCAAATCTGATATACAAATTATAGGGGGTTAATTGATGGACTATAAAACAGACTCAGTAGGTCAAGGGACTGGTTTCTGTTTTCCAACTCTTTCCTCACTCTACTTCATCTCCCATTTTTACAGTAGAAATAATATGCTATACAGTAGAAATTTAATTATGCTACTAAGTTGCTTAATAGCATCAGTTTTAAATATGCCTTTTTCAGGGCTACTTATTGCCAGTGCTATCAAACTCAAGCCTCATTTCATCTCCCTCATCTTGCTTTCCAGTAGTCCTTTCCACATAGCTTCTAGGTCTGTGGCTTTTCCATCACTACTCTGATAAATCGTAAATATTTCATCATTTTGACAAGCATTAAAATTTTTGTTTCAAACTGCAGGTTGAGCTGAATTGTTTATGCAACATGTGCAAATCAGCATTTGGTTTCTAGCATGAAAAATTTAAGTCAAGGAGCCAAAGTAAGATCAGAATTGACTGGATTATGTGAGAGTTTGACTGAAAAAGTTATAAACCCCTGCTCTAACCACAGTTCACATACTTTGTGAACAGCACTGCACATGCCTTCACAACGTTTTTCCTTCTTCCTCCATTACCTTTGCCTGAAATATGAGTCTAATGCCTACTCCTTACTGTCCATACAAACTCGTTTCACACCATTATAGAGAAGTCTGATTCTCCAGCTAAAGTGGTAATTACCTCGTCTGATCTCTGAATTATTTTTTCATGAGCCATTAGCTCAGTTATCTGATTGTTATAATTCATCTGTTTAAGCTCTAGTAAGTGAACTTCTTCAAAATAGGACTACAATTAATATCTGTATTCTTAGTCCCTTAAAAAATGGCTTACCTCCTTGTGGGTACTCAAAAATATTTAAAAGGTCATCATTTCACGCTGTAATCAGGAATCTAAATAGATGTGCACTTTCAGACAAAAGGAACCACTTACAAATACACTCAAAATAAAAACCTTTTATTCCAGGTTAGAACCTGGAATAAGACATCTACTTATTGATGTCTTTCATAGGTTCTGCCTTGAATTCAGATGTTTCTATAGGAGACAATTTTAATCACAGAGAAGATCAGAGGTTTTGAAGAATGCGTTATTTCTGAAATGAATGAAGAAGGGAAGCTGGAAAGTTAAGGTTTGACTGGAAAGCTAAGGTTTGCATTCCACTTCTGCCATTATCTACCTTGGTGACCATGAAAAGAACAATTGAAAGAGCAACAACAAACTTCCAGTAACAATAATTGAATTCACATTATTAATAATAATTTTAACAGATGGAATGGAATGTGTACCACATGCCTCAAACTGTGTCAAGCACCTAAAGTTAATCAGTTATAAAATGTTGAAATTATATTTATTAAACATCATAAGCAGAATACTCTCAGTTCTTATATGCTTTATCCAAAATCTCTGTGAGTATAAGGAATTCTTTAAAAGTTATAGACACCTAAAGGAAAAGGTGAAGAGATACAATGGCATTAAAATTTAGGGAAATTAAGAGTAGTGGTTACCCAGCGTAATAGACAAAGCTAAAATCCATCAGTTGGATGAGGCAGAAGACAGTGATAAGTAACCTTATTTATGCTGCAAAACCAGTCTCAGGAAGAGGAGACACCAGTTCACTTTAAAGTGGGGATAAGAAATGGGAATTAAAGCAGGGAAGAGTATTTTTTGAACTGTTTCAAAAGCACTTAGATTGTTCTTTGGCCAACATACCCACGTTAACCCACACAGCAAGATGACTATCCCTCGTCTAGCTTATCAGGAAAAGAATCTACTCTGAAAAATTAAAGGTAATAAGCTCTAGATTTGTACACATTGAGCAAAATTTAGAGGCCTTGAGGGTCGATGAATATATTAAAACAGGACATTAGGTAAATGTCTTCTCACTAAATGCTGAGATATCCTCCTGCTTCTCTCACTCAGCTTCTAGAATCCTGAAAGCCAGGCTTATACTACCAACTAGGAGGGACATTGTGAACCAAAAAATGTATAAATGCTGATATTAATAAAACAGTTCAGTGGCCACCAAACAAGTCAAACTCATTCATATTTTGGGACTTCTCACCGTACAGATATTCTGATTACCTGTAAAATGAGTCAATCTTACATAGGAATGGCTAGCTTACACATTTGAGGAAATTTACAAAATTTAAAGACAGATGCCAAGCCGTGTGTGTGTGTGTGTGTGTGTGTGTGTGTGTGTGTGTGTGTGTAAAACAAAACAAAAAGCACTCTGAGGAAATATGGAAAATTTAAAGGGAAGAAAACTTCAAAAACAACAAATACAACATGAACAGCAACTATATTATCAAGACAAGATATGGCATCATAATATGAAAATAAATGCTATTTTGGCCAGATGTGGTGGCTCACACCTGTAATCCTAGCGCTTTGGGAGGCAGAGGCGGGCAGATCACCTGAGGGCAGGAGTTGGAGAGCAGCGTGGCCAACATGGCAAAACCCTGTCTGTACTAAAAATACAAAAATTAGCTGGGCATGCTGGTGCATGCCTGTAATCCCAGCTACTTGGGAGGCTGAAGCAGGAGAATCACTTGAACCCAGGAGGAGGAAGTTGCAGTGAGCTGAGGTCATGCCACTGCACTCCAGCCTGGGCGATAGAGCAAGACTCCAACAAACAAACAAACAAACAAAAAGAATAAATGCTAAAACAGAACATTTAAGGAATTAAATAGATATTGAAAATTTGAAAAAGTACATTTTAGTAGAAACATTTTTTGAAGGCTTATTGGAGAAAGTTGAGGCTCTGACTCAAAAGTATAGGAAAAATATAGAAAGAAGAAATGAGGAGTAAAGCCATGTAAATCAGGTTTAAACTGGGAATTTCAAAATATGAGAAAAGGCAAAATAGACTGGAAGATACTCTCAAGTATATTATCAAAAATTTAAAATAAACTTTCCCTGAGAAAAAGTGACATGTGATTCCAGATTGAAGGAACCAGTCATTGAAGAGTCTGAAATTAATAAGTCACATGAACCAAGTCAAATTACTATGCAATTTTAGTGCTCTTAAAGACCTTAAACATTCTTAGGGGGACAATATCTATTATAGATCTCTACATGCAGATAGGTATATATGTATGTGTCCATCATCTGAGAAAGACGAACAAAATTTCATCAAAGGATTAGGAATCAGAATAATAGTCTTTCTCAGCTTAAAAGTCCACACTCAAACTATTCCAGTGCAGTATAAAACGAAGATAGCTTTAGATGGGTAAAACATACAAGTTTTGCATATCATGCACATTAATACACTTTATTGATATATGTTCCTTCCACAAAATCGAGAGTAAATTAAGATAAAGTTGTGTAATTCAACAAATGGACTAATACTCATGAGGCTTGAAGGAAAAAATCAGGATAATACTGTGCAGTAGTCTAGGAAGTCCTCGGGTCTCTACTTGATATTTCTCTATTTGATAATATCTTCCAGCAAACAGGCAGAAAATTTTAAGAGAGTTACAGTCAAAGGAGAAAAAAAAACACTATAACTGCTTGATCACCTGACCATGTTAAGAGGAAATTTTCAACTCTTCCCAAAGGTTTGGAAAAAGAATAAATGCTAAGTAAACTAAGCATTGACGGTAGAAAGCATTTCTGGAGTGCTAAATTGTGCCAGGTAACTACCCTGAGTTTTTAAATGTATTTTATATATAACCTTAGCAACTTTAGAACCTTGGTAATTTGTTATCCTCATTTTATATATGAACAAATTCTAGGTAAAACAAACATAAAAATGCAAACTAAAATATTTAACCAAAAATGTGAAATTGCTAGGCTAGAGGTAGGGCACAAAGGTGGCAAAATATAAGATTATTTCTAATCTTCTATAGCAGGAACTCAATAGATAATGTCTAAAATTATGAAATCAAGAAACAGCATCACTTTGTTGTTAAACAGGACCTCCCCTAGGGTATGTGGGACTGAGGATAATACCTTGGTGGGGCATCTGTTTCATAAACAATTTGAATTAAAATTTGTAACAAAATTCATGGGCCCATGACAAATATAAGGAAGTGATTTATTGAAGATGTAGAGAAAAGAGACACTCATATGTTTAGAAGCATCATACCTTATCTTGAATTCTTCAGACTGTAATCTCTGAATTCCCAGAACATAATCTCATTTGGTGTTGACCACATCTCTGCCTTCTATCCGCCACCACCAGCAGGGAGATCAGTGAGAGGAGATGAGTGAAAAAAGAAGAGTGGGTCCATTCAAGGAAGGATTGTTTGTCTTTTGTCTAGCGCAAATGAAGACTGTCCCTGGAACATGATGTTTTCGCATTCCTTGCAGGTGATAAAGAACACTGATTAGAAGGGCTCATGGTCCTGTAGAACAACAGTCTTCAGAACCTTGGAGGAAATGGCACAGCCACTCCTGGAGACTGCCTGACAAGTGGCATGGAGTTAGTGAATGGTACTAGTGGCAGGCAGGGTAAAGAATGCCTGCTGTCAGCACCACCACACCCTACCTTGTGTGCTGTAGGCATGCAGTGGTGGGGTAATCAGATCACAGATGGGTCAAATCCATTTCATAGGCCTGGATATGTGGCTTTAGGCCAAGGGTCAGCCATGGTCCATGGATAGCCCAGGGTCTGAACTCATCCTGGATCTGACACAAATAAGAGAGAATCACTGCAAATCAGCAAGACGGCATCATTTCAACACTTTAATCTTATACAATCTAAAGAGAAATACTTGCATCATCCAGCAGGAGGCAACTTGTAATGAAGCCACTTTATTGGAACTAGATTCTTGCTTACCTGGTCTAAGAGTGGTTCTATATCTGAAATCTGGAAGCAAATATAAAAACAGCTAAAACGTTGAAATGTTGTACTAATTTATTCCGGTAGTAGGGCTAGGGAGGAGGAAGGGTAGAGTTGAGGAATTATTGTTTTTCATAATAAGCCTTGTAATACTGTATTAGTTTTTAAGTCCTGTAGATATATTACTTACAACAATTAAAGAAATAAGTATATGAAAGCAGTTTATTAAGTTCTTTTCCCAGCTCCAAACTGTTAGGGGTGTGTGTGTGTGTGTGTGTGTGTGTGTGTGTGTGTATACACACACACACATATATACATAAATATACACATGTATATACGTATATATACACACATGTATATATACATACATACACACGTATATATACACGTGTGTATATACATGCGTGTATATACATATATACGTATATATGTATATATGTGTATGAAATGGATTTTACCCATCTGTGTTCTGATTACCCCACCACTGCATGCCTATAGCACACAACGGTAGGGTGTGGTGGTGCTGATAGCAGGCATTCTTTACCCTGCCTGCCAATAGTACCATTCACTAGTACCATTCACATATGCATGTGTGTATATACATGTATATACACGTATATATACGTATATTTCTGTATATACATGTGTATACAAGTATATATACACACGTATATATACGTGTGTATATATACACATGTATGTATATACATGTATGGACATATATATGTATATGTGTATATAAAGTGTATATACACATATATACATATATATGTCTATATACATACATGTATATGTGTCTATATACATACATGTATATATGTCTACATACATGTATGTGTGTCTATATACATACATGTATATATGTCTACATACATACAGGTATATATATCTGTCTACATACATACATGTATATATCAGTGTCTACATGCATGTATATATATCAATGTCTACATACATGTATATATCTGTCTACATGCATACATGTGTATATCCATGTCTACATGCATACATGTATATATCCATGTCTACATGCATACATGTATATATCCATGTCTACATGCATACATGTATATATCTATGTCTACATACATACATGTATATATCTCTATGTCTACATGCATACATGTATGCATATCTATGTCTGCATATGTGTATATATCTATGTCTACATACACATGTATATCTATGTCTATGTCTACATACACATACACCCACACACTTATAGCTTACAGGGAGCTCGACTATAAAATATTAGAAAAGTTATTTTCCACTTATTTTTAAATTGGTACATTTAAATATATCATGGTTGGTCTCACAGAAACTTCAAGGTCAATGACCAACAAAATGGAACTTTTAACCTAAACCAGTCAAAGGAGATAACAGGAGAAAGCTTAGTATTATTAGAGGTATAGAGTTAGTTGAGGCCAGTATTGGGCCAAAACTGTGAATCCAAGGTTGCTCATCTGTGGTACCCTGACTTCCAGCCCCCATCTTCCCTCGGGCACCTCTGCTAGCTGTCAATTAAACACCACTAATGAGGACACTGATAACAGCTTAAGAAATGCTTCTCTCCCTTGAGTATTTCATTCCAATAAGGAGTGTCTTATTAGACCAAACTATTTGAAACCCCAAAGAGATAGCCTGAAAAAGAACTAATTTTAGTCAGTGTCATTTGCAATAATGGTGAGATTTTGAGGCCTTATAAACTCTCCACTACTCTCAAGTTTTGATTTGTAGTTGGCTGCATATTGTGAAGCTGACCCAGGTTATACATAACTATGAAAACAGGACCCGTGTTTTAAGGTAAAAAAAAAAAAAAAAAAAAAAAAAAAAAGCCCTGTGGAGTAAAACAAGATCTTTTTATTTGTATTTACTTCTACATAGGCTATAGTGCAATTATAGATCCAAGTATTTTTATTACACATATATTATCGTTTATTTCAAGGAAGCATACAAGCCCCTGCTGTTTGCATACACACTTGATAATAAACCTCACTGAACAAATCTGGAAGAATTGAGCGTAATTTCTTGTCTGTGTCTAAGTAAACTTAACTGTATAAATGTGGGCATGCACATTCACAGAGATACAAACACAGTAACATCTCACTATCTTTGTAGTGTTAGATAAAGGATCATTATTTGTATGTGAATTTCAAGAAAATTAAAATTTACCTCATCGGAAATAATTAAAATGTTCTTAAAAACTGCAATCCAAACTTCATCACCATTCTTTTATCTTCTAAAACACTAAATTGAACTTTTGAAATATTTGAATGATTCATAATTCTTAAAGTACATAAATTGACATAACGTGTTATAGTTCCTGCCTTCTGGTTTTGTTGATTTGGAAATATTCCAAACAGTCCCAGAGAACTCTGCTACTTATTTTTGTTTGTTTGTGTTTGTAACTTTCTGCCTTTTTCTTACTGGTAGGCTATCCCATCTCACTCTTCACTTCTGTTAGTATGTTCTTCTAGCTGCTTTTTTTAAAATTTATTTTTGCATCATTGAGTACATAATAAGTGCTCAATAACTGCTTTGTTAAATTAAACTACATAGTTCTCTGCTCTTTGACAATGTTATTGTAAAGAAGTAATGAACTGTTTTTACTGATCAGAAACCATGCATTTTTCCTCTACTTTTATCATACCAGCTATTTAACATTACCTGGTATATTTTCAAAGTAACTCAAGCACTGAAGGTTAAAATACTGGCGATAAAAATTCAGTTAGTTTCTGGTCAGTGTGAGAGTCCAACTAATTATTGATATTTGGCTCTTCTTTCTGCGAATAGGTAAGTGTTGTGCAAAGGGCTGAATATTAAGGAGACTGACAGTATTTCTAAGAGGATTTGAAGCTATCTCTTCATAATCCACAGGATGAGCTCCTACTTTATAATTGCTGTAATCCAAAGAACTTCTGGCTCATAAGGAGCATATGTCTGAAGCCATATGAGTTGGTAGTTAACACTGATCTTTTCAGTTTCTTCTGTCATCACAGTCCCTCCCTGCAACGTAAATTTTCTGTTGAATGTCTATTTTAATGCTTATTTCCCATCCCCTCGAGGTGGTAAGCAATTTCATTTAGAAATTAGAAAACTGGAAGGTAGAAGACCATTTTAAAGATTGTTTATTTCATGACCTCATATTTTAAAGGGCCCTGAAAGTCTCATCTCCAAGCAGTCAAGGCAGTCAAGTTTGGCTTTATGGTTACTCTAGGCATAGCTGTTTGATGGATTAAAAAGTGCTTTTAGCAAATTGACATCTGCTGCTTCAGTGATACAATGTGGACACTTTAGGCTTGCATTTAAAATGGAAATTGGACTTCACTACGTTGAAAACAAGGTTCAGGAACATTAATGGCCACATTAATGACTTTGAATAATTTCTAGTTATAGTTCTTGAGTAACAGCACTGGAAATATTTGCTATGAAAACAAATTACTGATTTACCAGTAGGAATGATGGCATTGACCTTAACGCGAATGAATATTTTGAAAGGCTGGTGATATAGAAGGCTTTATGGAAGGGTGAGTTTCATATGGAAGATCATGTTTCCACATGACTACACATGTCAACTAGGGGAATTCTACATACACATTTACAATGGATATTTCTTTGTCTTAAACTCTTGACTAGAGAGACTATATTCATATTTTGTCTCCAGAATCCAAGTGGTCCCTGATGATACTGCCCTTTAGTATTTGTTTAACGGAACAGTCATGTTCTTTTGAATGCTAGGATGTTAGTAAAGAAAAATCCAAGTGATTTACTGGACGTACTGTTTTAATGTGTCTGTTCTGCTATAAAAAATTACCTGAGACTAGGTAGTTTAAAAACAAGATAGATTAATTTTCTTATAGTTCTGGTGAATAGGAAGTCCAAGATCAAGGTGCCAGCATTTTCAGTTGTTTAATGAGGACTGCACACTCCAGAGGGAAGAAAAACTGTGCTCTCACATGGCAAAAGGTGGAAGGGCAAGCTAGCTGAACAATGTTCAAAGCCTCTTCAATAGTGCCTTACCTCCGTTCCTGCAAGAAGAGCCCTCATGGCCTAATTACTTCTTAAAGGCCTCACCTCGTAGCATTATCACAATTGGTAACACCTGAATTTTGGAGGGAACACATTCAAACCATAGCAATGAGATTTTTCAACTTGTTTTCTTATGAGTTTTCATTCAATTGACACATGCTTTGTTACATGATTATGCTCTAAATATATCTGGTTCATGAGAGAGTCAGAGTTTTATGCAGACTCATAAAAATCACATGTCAAGCGTTACACCAGCAAAAAATGCTGGTGATGTAAATGAAATTCAATCAGAATATTTTCTGTCTGAAATTTGAAAACTAGGTCCAAAGAATGAGGAATAATTAATTTCAATAAGAAGCAAAAAGATACACATGGAAAATAAACAAGAATGCTGTGTCCTCAAGTGAATGTTATCATCGAAAGCATAAGCTAACCTGTATTCTCAGGCTACTTAGTATTCTGAACAAACTTTCAAAGGGCTGACAGCACTTATAAGTCTCTGGTAAGCTTTTAAAACTTTGGAGAGGTCAATTTGGTTACTGTTTCTGGGTCCCCTATGAGATATAGTGTTTGGCTTCCCCAATTTGTGATGAGGACAGGAAAAATGACCAAATTTCTTCTTATATTTATATCAAACTTCCCGTAATTTGGAGTACACCAAGAGATTCTATTCCTTGGCTCCAAAAGAATCAAACATGATGCCTGAAGGAAATAATTCACATTTTTTTAGTAATAATTTCATTGGGATGTAATTTATATACAATTAAATTCATATTTAAAATGTACAGTTCTATGGCTTTTAGTCTATTCAAAGTTGTGCAACCATTACCACAATTTTACAACATTTTCATCATCCCCCCAAATCCTGCAATTGTACCCTTTTACAGTCACATACTGTTATCCTCATTCCCTCTATCTCTAGTCAACCACTAATTAACTTTTTCTATTGATTTTCACATCCTGGACATTTCATATAAATTGCATTATATAATATGTGATCCTATTTACTGGCTTCTTTTACTTAGAATAAATGTTTTCAAGGATCATCTATGGTACGGCTTCCATCAGTACTTTATTTATTGGCAAATAATTTCCCTTATGTGGATATACCATATCTTGTTTATCCATTCATCAATCAGTAGACATTTAGGTTGTTTTCATTTTTTGACTTTTCTGAATGAGGCTGCTATAAATATTCATGAACAATTTTTTGTGTGACTATATGGTTTCATTTATCTTGGGAGTAAGGGTAGCAACTCTACGTTTAAACTTGTGAGGAACTGGCAGACTGTCAATGTGTATGCCTCATTTTACATTCTCTCTAGTAGTGTATGAGGGTTTCAGTTTTTCCACATCCTTGTTGCTATTTGTCATTACCTGCATCTTAATGATGGTCACCTTAGTGACTATCACTATATATAGTGATATAATTAAATCGCTAATTATATAAGTCACTATAATTCTGAGTGTGAAGTTGTTCCTCACTGTGACATTTATTTTCATTTCCCTAACAGCTAATATTGTTTAGCATTTTCTCATATGTTTATTGGCCATTTAAACCTTTGTAAAAACATGTGTTAATTTAATTGACGACTTTTTAGTTGGGTAATTTGTGATATTGGGTTGTAAATGTTATTTATGTTGTCTAGATAGAAGTTATTAAAGATACGAGATTTGTAAATATTTTCTTTCACTCTATAGGTTCTTGATAGTGTCCTTTGAAGAATACAAGTTTTGAATTTTAATGAAGTATAATTTACATATTTTTTCTTTGTTGCTTGTGATTTTGATGTCATAACTAATAAATGATTGCCTGGTCCAAGGTGGTGATGACTTACATTTTATTCTAAGACTTTAATTTCTTTACCTCTTGTATTTAGGGCTTTTGATTCACTGAGGTAATTTTTGTAAATTATGTAAAATAGGGGTCCAATTTAATCCTTTGCATGTAGATATCCAGTGGGACCAGCACCATTTGTTGAAAAGATTTCAGTTGTCACCCTTCTCAAAAATAGACTATAAATGTAAAGGTTTATTTTGAAACTCCCATTTCTATTACATTCATATATATGTGTCTGTGTGTTTCTTTTTGAGTAGTTTAGAGTGTGTATGTGTATGTGTGTATGTGTCTGTCTCAGTTTGTTTTACATTAATGTACAGGAATAACTGACACTAGGTAATTTATGAGGAAATAAGTCTGTTTGGCTCATGATTCTGCTATGGAAAGTTCAAGACTGGGCTTCTGCATCTGGTGAGGGCTTCAGGGGGTTTCCACTTATGGCAGAAGGTGAAAGGTAGCCAGCATGTGCAGAGATCACATGGCAGGAGAGGAAGCACGTGAGAGAGAAGGGAGAGGTGCCAAGTGCTTTTTACCAACTACCTTTTGTGGGAACTAATAGAGTTAGAACTCACCTATCCTCAAGAAAGGACATTATTCATGAGGGATCCACCTCCATGACCCAAATACCTCCCGTTAGGCTCCACCTCCAACATAGGGAACCAAATTTCAACATGAGGTTTGGAGGGGGACAAACATCCAAACCATAGCATATGTATACATATATAGCCTTTAGCCAATACCACACTGTCATGGTTTCTGTAACTTTGTAGTGAGTTTTGAGTTTGGGAAGTGTGAATAATATAGTCTTGTTCTTTATCAAGATTGTTTTGGCAATCTGGATATTTTGAATGTCCATATGAGTGTTTGGGCCAACTTATTAATATCTACAAATACACAGCTGGAATTTTGACAGAGAATGCACTGAATCTGTAGATTTATATAGGCTTGTTACTATCTTAGTGTTAATTGTTAATTAAGTTATCTGATATGGAGTATTAGTTTTGACTTTTTTGTTAAATTTCTAAGCAATTTTTGCTGCTATTATAAATTGTTTTCTTAATTACATGTTTGGATTTTTCCTTGCAAGTGTATAGAAATACAAAAGATATTGGTATAGCAATCTTATATGCTGCAACCTTGCAGAATTTGTTTTGTGGTGAATGTCTTAGAAGAGTTTTATATGCAAAATCATGCCATCTACAAAGATACATAGTTTTACTTCTTTTTCAACCTGGTGTCTTTTATTTCACTTTATTGCTATTTTACCCTTACTAGAAACTTCAGTATAATACTGAATAGAAGTGGTAAGAGAAAACATTATTGCCTTGTTCCTGATTTTATGAAGAAAATACAGTTTTTCCACTAAGCATGCAGCTGTCCATTGATTTTTGGTAGATTCCCTAAATCAAATTGAAGAATTTTGTTTATATTCATAGTTTGTTGAGTATTCTCATAATGGAGAGGTGTTGGATTTTGTTAAATGCTACTTGTGGTTCTATTGCAATAATTTTATTCGTCCTTTATTGCATTAACATGTTGCATACATTAATAGATTTTTACATGTTAAATCAGTATTGCATTTGTGGGATAAATTTTACTTTGTTACAATGTCTAGTCTCTTATATATGGATGGATCTGGTGAGCTAGCTTTTTGTTAAGAAATTTTGCCTCTCTCTAGATAGATAGATGGATAGATAGATAGACAGAGATATAGATATAGTTCTCCTATTTTCTTTTCCTTTTATTTCTTTTTTTGGTTTTGTATCGGGGTAATACTGGACTCAGAGAATTGGGAGTATACACTTCTCCTGCTCCATTTTTTTGTAAGAGTCTGTAAAAAGATGGTATTAATTCTTTAAATGTTAAAATTCACCATTGAAGTAAACGGGCCTGAGCTTTTGTATTTTCTCTGTGAGTAGTTTATTTTTCTCTAAATATCAATTCAATTACTTTAAACATTGTTAAGTCTATATGAAGTTTCTATTTCCTTATGAGTCAGTGTTAGCAATTTGTTTTTCTAGTGTTTTGTTCTTTCATCTAAATTTTCTAATTTATTAGCACATAATTTTCATAGTATTCCCTGACAATACTTTATTATTTAAGTCTAGTAGTGTTCTCTTTCATTCCTGATTTTAGTAATTTGAGCATTCTCGCTTCTTTCAGTCTAGCTAAATATTTATAATTATTAAGCTATTCAATAAAACAACTTTTTGATTTGTTTATTCGTTATTGTTTTTATAGTCTGTATTTTATTAATTTCAAAACTATTTGCTTTTTTAATCTTTCTTTGAGTAGAATTTGATCTTTTTTTCCTAGTGTCTTGAGGTGAAATGTTACCTTATTGATTTCAGATCTTTCCCTGTTTAAAATAATAGGCACTTACAACTACAGATTTCTAAGTACTTGCTTTAACTGCGTCTGATAAGCTCTGGTATGTTTTGTCTTCATTTAATTTATATCCAAAGCACTTTCTAATTTCCCTTGTGATTTCTTTTTTGATTATTTGGTTATTTAGGAGTATGTTGTTTAATTTTCATGTATTTGTGAATTTCCCAAATTTCTTTGTGTTATTGACTTCTAATTTTATTCAGTTGTGGCTGCAGAATATGCTTTGTAGAATTTCAATTACTTTAATTTATTGAGGCTTATTTTATGGCCTAACACATACTCTACCCTGGAGAATGTTTCATGTGTACTATGCTGTTGTTGGGTGCAGTGTTCTACAGATGTCTGTTACATCTGGTTGGTATATAAGCTTGTCCACATCTTTTATTTCCTTATTGATTCTTCTGAGTAGCAGTAGTTGTTTTCTGTTTGTTTAGTGACTGTCTGGAATATTTTAGTGAAGTCTATTTGTCCCAAGGCATGAAGTTCCTGAAGTCGCTCCTCAGAGGTTATAGCTCTGGACATGTTCAAAGTCACCCTGGGATGACAGTAGTTTCAGCAGAGCTATCTTTAACTGTTTCTTACACTGATCACATCGAGTTGCTGATCAGGTACTCTGTTTTCAAAAATTCCATGGGGCATATATTGTTCTATAGACTGTTCCAATTAAATTGAGGACCTTTGCCCAGATAGTATTTGGGGCCACTATATGAGGTTTTTATGACTCCAGGATTGCTTTTCTTAGCTGTCTCATTCCCCTCGTCTCTCCTAAAGCGGCTTGAGTATGACTGATCTTATTCTTCTCATGAAGTTACCTCCATGTAATTGCTTTATTAACACCTTCAATGTTTTGGAAAGCACCGTTAGGCTTGAACTTCGCCAGACTCTACTTAAGTGAAGTCAGTTCTTTTCAGTAAAGCTTCAGAGTTCTCTGTTGAGACTTGCCTCTGCCCCTGGACAAAATTTCTGAACCAAGTTCCTAGAGCTGCAGTCCAGGACTTTGGACCACTTTTCGCTGAGTTACCCCTGCTGGAAAGGCATGTACACCCCTAGTTTTCTAGGCATGCTTCTTTTCTACAGATTAGGTGGGGAAACTCTTCCTTATAAATGAGTTGGTATGAAAGCCATTGGGGCCTGGTGTTCTCAGCATGTTGTCCGTAAGCTAAGGCCCCCACCCATGAGTGGGGCTCAGTGGATAAAGCGAGCCACTGACCTCTTCAGTGAACTTGCCTGGAATTTAGCCTCTGCAAAGTAGCTGAAAGGAGTATTAAAAAAAAAAATTCCACTGGCTTGCTCCTCCTCAGAAGATATCATACCCTTCCACTAGGGGGATAGTTGTGTTCTTAGCTACATTTGCCTGAGGGAAGTTTCCATCACATTATGCTGAGAGTGCAGAGAGAGAGGTCATCGTTCAAATGCCAGTCTCATTGTTCTTACTGAGTTTTAGTAGGTTTTCTTAAATAAATGTGTCGTCTTTGGCTGTATGCCTTTAGAATAATTCCAGAGACATTACTTTTAATTATTATTACCAGTTATGTTCATTTCACTGAGTGGCCCATTCAGCTTCTCATAATACCATTCCAGAAATAGAATTTCCTTATATTTGTTTGACAGTCATACGATATCTGTAAACATGTAACATATTATTTGACCAGGCTAGTTTGGAGGATAGTATACATTATGGTGTAATAGTCTACTTACTATCTGAGTTAATGCAAATGTTTTGTTTCCTGGTATATTGTGCAGAAAAATTATGATATCTTGACTGCAGAATTTCAAAGAAAAAGGTAAATTTTTTTTTGCAAATTTTGAATGTCTGAGATAGTTGTATGCAATGTGTAATACACACACTTACAATATTAGACATATACATACATGTATAATCTACCTTTATACAGCATGCCCACACACACTCATACACACACACAAATACACATACATAGTCTTTGAGTTAATATCATTCAACTAAGCACTTTAGGTCAGACCTGTATTGATTCTTTAAGTGGCTAGGTTCTAAAAGATGATACCTTCTTTAGTTTCTGCTTCAACTAACAGAAGTCAGGTTTAATTACTTGGAACCACAGAGTCCTGACTGACTGATATGAGTATCAAATAGTCACAAATTATCTAGACTGCAAATATCATTTCCTTGTGATTTACAGATAAGAGAAGCCTGAACTCTAACTTCTAATGAATATACTTAAAAAGCTTGTTTATATTTGACCATTTTTTGTTTCTTAATGAATGTTTATGCTTCAAAAATCTATCCTCATTTTCATCTATCACAATGGCCAATACCATGGTTCCAGAGCCTTGCAAAGCATGTCTATGGTCTTGTAGATTCATTTGTCTAATCTACTGCTGCTGATACATTAACATTTCCCCCAACTATGGATAAGTCCTATTCCTTGATTCGTCAAATATATCCAACACCAATATATAATAAGCCAAATTCTTCTAAAGCCTTGGAGAAACAGAAATAAATTTTCATGAAGCAAGAAAAAGAAAATCCCTGAGAACTCTGTTAATGTATCTTATAATTCATAAGCTGCAAAATAAGTAAAACAAATAAAAATATATGGACTATACCTTGAGCATTCCTAGAATTCAGAGAAATACTGCTACCTTCAAATTACCTATAAAGTAGAGAAATAAATACACCTAATTACAACAAAGTGGCCACAATCATTTCAAGCCAATGTGTCTAGAGAGTATAATAAGGGATATAAGAGTCTAATAAAAAGAGGAGGGGGACATGGAACAACAAGATAAAACCCTTAATGCTTGAAATAAAAATCTAATAGTATAAACCTAATGAGCACACTTTTTATAATTAGTAGGAAATGGTTCAAAATTGAGGGGGAATAGAAGTATTGTTTTTAAGGAGGCGTGAGTTCTGTATTTGTAAACAGAGTAAGCATGATTAAACTTGGAGACATAGCATTGTAGGGAGATAAGATAAAATAAAAATCAGAATTCTAAAGAGGTAAAAGGACAAACTAAAAAGAAAACATACCTAATTCTATCTCCACCCAATATCTTTCATTAAAGAAAATGGTTCCTTTAAGCAAGGGAAGAAGGCACATGTAAGTTAGAAATTCTTTTCACAAATGCTTAAATATAGGAGATACAAATTAAATTAATATTTTACAAAGCTATTGTAAAAATAAAATTTAAAAAATATGAATAGAAATATTACAGCTGATAACTTTTCTTTAAAAATCAACTATTAAAGTAACATTTCAAATGGAATTGTATCATGTAATAGAAGCCATTTTAGGTATGAAAAGAAATCTTGAATTAGAAATTCACAAATTAAAATTGTATAGGTAAAAAATATGAAGAAATGTTATAGTTGTTAAACTCAGGAAGAAAATGTTTTCAACAGAGCAAAATCATATGAGAAATGAAGAGTAAAGTCCAAGATGTCCAAGCAAGTATACATTTGCATGAACATTTAATAAGGAATATAGAAAAGAAGGAAAGTAAACATAAGAATGAAAATAATTCGGCCGGGCGTGGTGGCTCATGTCTGTAATCCCAGCACTTTGGGAGGATTACCTTGAGGTCAGGAGTTCGAGACCAGCCTGGCCAACATAGTGAAACCCCATCTCTACTAAAAATACAAAAATTAGGTGGGTGTGGTGGCACATGCCTGTACCCAGCTACTCAGGAGGCTGAGGCAGGGGAATTGCTTTGAGCCCAGGAGTCAAAGGTTGCAGTGAGCCGAGATCGCACCACTGCACTCCAGCCTGGCCAACAGAGTGAGACTCTGTCTCAAAAAAAAAAAAATAATAATAATAATAATAATTCAAGAAAGGATTAAAGGGAGTAAGTTGAAATAGCAGTCATATAAAGGAGATCCAACATATAAATATTGGAGTCCCTGAATAGAAGAACAAACTAAACAACAATGGGGGAAAAAAAAACTGCCCAAAGTGTAATCCAAGGAAGCTTCCTAGAAATAGAAGAAGACAGAAGCTAAGCATTGATAGGGCTCGTGGGTACCTCATAATATTGACAAGAGCAATCAATTCTGAGATATACTCTATTAAAACCTAAAATTGGAAGATGGAAAAAAATCCTTAGGGCTTCCAGACAAAAAGATTAAATAACGAATAAGGGAAAAATAATTATTTTTCTCAAATGCACAAAGTAAGGCAATGGTGAAGCAATGTTTTTAAGAAGTTTAAAGGAACAAAATAGGAGCCAGGGATTTTAGATCAAGCCAAGCTCTCTTTCAAGTATTAAGAACATAGAAAATCAGTTTGCAATATTCAAGAACACCAGAGTTCACTGTGTTCAAGTGCTGTTTCTGAGAATTCTACTGAAGGATGGGTGCCATCTAACCATAAATGCCTAGGGAAACTTTGAAAACATAGGCTACTGGATCATTTATTATTTTCAATCATAGAACCAACATACAACCAAGAGTGGTAACATTAAAAAATATTATGTAAACATATGATTTGACAAGTAGAAAACATTGCTACTAAAATTATCAGAAGAGCAAGAGAAAGGGGAAAGATTCAAATTATTCACTACTGGGCAGGTAATGTGTGAGAGTCAAAGAATACCATTTAACAATGATGGATAAAATAATGAAAGATTGATTGAAAAGTGGGAATAAATAACCATGAATACCAATATATGAACTCATGTAAATTGAAAAGAAGTTAAACATATATCAAATAAAACACACAATTAAAAACTTCAACTTTTTCTTAGGAATTTGTCCTTAAACTGTTTTGTGTTATAGATTGAAAAAATGAGTAAATGGATTGACAATTTTGGGAGCTGCAGTTTTATAAACTACATGATATATTATGAAGCTCATTACAGTTTGAGAATATCTTTTGAACATAATATAGTTGAAAACACATTTTAAAAAATTTTTTTTTAGACAAGTCATCAAGATGACTGACTAGAAGTACATGGCACTTACCTTCTCCACGAAGAAGAAACAAAACAGCCAGTAGATAATCAAAAATAGAATAGAGTTTCTAAGGAAGAACACAGGAATTCAGCAGGGAAGTGACAGGAACTCTCTGAGCCATAAAAACTTGAGATGGCAGCATAGAGAGGGACGTGAAGCAGCCAGTGAGGACAGGCTCAGAGCCAGAGAGGACTCTATGGTTATAGGAGAAATGGTAGGTGAGACATTGTCAATAGTCCACCTTTCCACCACATATGTCTGCAATCCTAGTAACAGGGGAGCTCCTAAGTCCTTAGAGGCCCTGAGGTTAGTGTAGGAAACTACCTGGAGTCCATACAACTACATTATTTCAAAGAGGATATTTACATTGGGTCTCGTCCACACACTGGGACCCAGGATGCTGCAGCACAGTGGCATTTGGAGAGCAGAGGCAACACCATATTACATCCTTCCCTGGAGCCCAATTAACCCTGTATTTTCACATTCTTAGGGCCCAACTGACATTACCTCATGTTGACTCAGTTGACTGCAGCATTATGACACCAGCTGGACCCAGTGGTGCCATCATGTCTCTGGTACCCGAGTCCATACAGTATCCTATATCCCAGGGAAGAGATAATTGAGCATATCCAGGAGGCTGCACCCAGGAAATAGGGAGCCAAAGCATGTGCTCCGTGGATTCTGAGAGCTGCTTGACTAGGGACACAGACATCAATACAATCTCACCCCTCCAGAGCGCAGGCTGCTGTGCATCCATGTGTACCACCTGGAGACTGAAAACCTGGCCTCCTACTGCCACCAGAGTTACCTGTGCATAATGTCCAGGGTCTAAGGACTGGCCTGTCTGGACTGCCACCACTACTGCCTGTGACCACACAACCTGCCACAGGAGCCTGAGGCTATATCCAGCCGCCAACATCACTCTGTCTGTATGAGCCATCAGGGGAACTGAGTACTAGTTTACCCATGGCCCACTACCACCACAACTGGTACCCAAGTATGCCACCCTGGAGCCTAGGGAGAAATCCACCCAGTGCCCTAGTCTCCAGCAAAGCCTTACTACAGCCTCCACACACAACCACAGCCTAAGCCAGTGAGGAACTTACAGATACCACTGATATTTATTAAAGCTGAAGAAATCCTATGGAGACTACACTAAGGTACCCACCCAACACCAAAGCTAATGTGTTTTATTCAGTTGACACTATAGATACATCTGCAAGAAGAAAGTACTCCCAGACAGAAGCTACTCCATAATATGGGAAGAAGTGAGTTTTATACCAGATGTGTAGATATCAATGTACTAACACAAGAAACATGAAAAAGTAGGGGAACATGAAAGTAGGGAAACGTGACATCTCCAAAGAAATACTGTAACTCCCTAGTAAAAGACTGTGAAGAAAAGAATATCTATGTAATGTTTGAAAAGGAATTCAAAAATAATGATCTTCAGGAAATAAAACAGAACACACATACATAATACAAAAATATCAGAAAAACAATTTATGATCAAACGAATGTGACATTAAATAAGGTGCATAACATAAAAACAAACCAGACAGAAACCTTAGAACTGAAGAATTCAATGGATGAAATAAAAATACAATAGAAAGTAAAGTAAAAATAGAGTATGAAAAAAGTGTATGTAACATGGAACATCATCAAATAAACAAATATTTGAGTTTTGAGAGTTTCAGAAGAGATAAGGAAAAACCATGAAAAAACAATTTAATAATATAATAGCTTAAAAAATTCTCAAATCTTGGAAGAGAGATACATATACAGGAAGCTGAAAGTTTCCCAAATACATTCATCCAAAGAGTTTCTCTTCAGGCACCTTATACTCAAATTTTCAAAAGACAACAACAAAGAGAATTCGAAGAACAGCAAGAGGAAAGTGCCAAGTCATTCATAAGGAAATCCTATCAAACTATTAACAGCAGATTTCTCAGGAAAACCCTTACAGGCAAGGAAAAAATAGAATAATATATGCAAAGAGTATAAAAATGATTACTGTCAGCTAGGAATAATACACACAGTAAAGGTATCCTTCTGAAATGAAGGAGAAATAGTCTTTCCCAGGCAAAGAAAAAAATGGAGAGAATTCACCACCCTACACGAAATGCTTAAAGGAATGATTGATCTGAAAATGAAAGAATAGTATCTACCATCATGAGGGCACACAAAATTATAAAACTCACTGTGAAAGCACATACACAAATAAAAAAGAAAGGAATCAAGTTATCACTATAGAAAACTACCAAATCACAAAGATAAACAGTAAGAGACCAAGATAAGAAAAAATAACATACAAGATAATCAGAAGCCAATTAACAAAATGACTGAAGTATGTCCTCACTTATCAATAACAACCTTGAGTGTCAAAGTTTTAAATCCTCCAATTAAGATACAGACAAGCTAAATAGATGTTTTCAAAAGACCCCACTGTATTCTGCCTAAAAAACACTCTAATCACCTGTAAAGATTCACATAACTGAAAGTGAAGGTTTGAAAAAAGATATTCCATATAAATCACTAGCATTCATATACACCAACAACAGTCAATACAAGGACCAAAGCAACAATAAACTGTCATTCAGAATTGCCACAAAAAGAATAAAATACCTACAGATACAACTAACTATAGAAATGAAAGATCTCTACCAAGAGAACTACAAACCACTGCTCAAAGAAATCAGAGATGACACAAATGGAAAAACATGTCATGCTCATGGACAAGAAGAATCAATATTGTTAAAATGTCCATACTGCCCAATGCGATTTGTACATTTAATGCTATTTATTACTATTCAACTACCATTGACATTCTTCACAGAACTAGAAAAATTACTTCAAAATTCATATGAAACCAATAAAGAACCTAAATAGCCAAGGCAGTCCTAAGCAAAAAGAACAAAGCTGGAGGCATCACATTACCTGAATTCAAACTATACTACAGGGATCGAGTAAGCAAAACAGTAGGTCCTGGTGCAAAAACAGACACATAGATCAATGGGACAAAATAGAGAACCCAGAAATATGACCGTACACCTACAACTCTCTGATCTTCAACAAACCTGACAAAAGCAATGGAGAAAGGATTCCCTATTCAATCAATGGTGCTGAAAAACTGCTAGCCATATGCAGAAGAATGAAACTGGATTCGTTCCTTACACTATGTGCAAAAATTAATTCAAGATGGATTAAAGACTTAAATGTAAAACCCAAAACTATAAAAATCCTAACAACATAGGCAATACCATTTAGGGCACAGGCAAAGATTTTACAAAGAAGATGCAAAAAGCAATTGCAACAAAAGCAAAAATTGACAAATGGGATATAATGAAACTACAGACCTTCTGCACAGCAAAAGAAGCTGTCCTCACAGTAATAGGAGAAAATTTTACAAACTGTGCATTTGACAGAGGTCTAATATCCAGCATCTATAAGAAACAAATTTACAATAAAAAAACACACACAACCCCATAAAAAAGTGGGCAAAGGACACGAACAGACACATTTAAAAAGAAGACATACATGTAGCCAACAAGTACATAAACAAAAGCTCAACATTACTGATGAGAGAAATGCAAATCAAAACCACAATGAGATACCATCTCAAACCAGTCAGAATGGCCATTATTAAAAAGTCAAAAAATAACAGATGCTGGCAAGGTTGTGGAGAGAAAGCATACACTGCTGGTGGGAGTGGAAATTAGCCCACCCATTGTGGAAGACAGTGTGGCAATTCCTCAAAGACCTAAAGACAGAAATACCATTTGGCCCAGCAATCCCATTACGGGGTACGTACTCAAAGAATTATAAATCATTCTATTATAAAGACATATGCACACATATGTTAATTGCAGTACTATTTACAATAGCAAAGACATGCAATTAACCTAAATGTCCATCAATGATAGACTGGATAAAGAAAATGTGGTACATATACACTATGGAATACTGTGCAGCCACGAAAAAGAACAATATGCCCTTTGCAGGAACATGGACCGAGCCAGAGGCCATTATCCTTAGCAAACTAACACAGGAACAGAAAACCAAATACAGAATGTTCTTATAAGTGGAAGCTAAATGATAACATATGGGCACATAGAGGGGAAAAACATACTGGGGCCTTTTGGGGAATGGAGGGTGAGAGGAGGGAGAGGATCAGGAAAAACAGTGGGTACTAGGCTTAATACCTGGGTGATGAAATCTGTACAATAAACCCCTATGACATAAGTTTATCTATGTAACAAACCTGTACTTGTACCCTGAAATTAAAACAAAAGTTGTTATACAAACAAAAGCCCCAAATAAATAAAATCATAAAAAGGAGATAATACAACTGATACCACAGAAATACAAAGGATCATTAGAGATAACTATGAACAGGTATATGCCAACAAATAGAAAACCTATAGGAAATGAATGAATTCATAGGCATATATTAGGAAGAAATGAAAAAGCTCACCACACTAATAATAAATAACAAGTTTGAGTCAGTAATAAAAAGCCTCCCAATAAACCCCGGGACAGGACTGCTTTACTGCTGAATTCTGCCAATCTTTCAAAAAAGAGCAAACACCAATTCTACTCAAACTGTTCCAGAAATATAGAAAAGAATTATTCCTAATATATTCTATGAGGCCAGCATTACACTGTTTGAAAACCAAACAAGGATACAGTGAAAAAGAAAGCTATACGCCAATATGTCTAATTAGCATAGATGCAGAAATCATCAATAAAATAGTAGGAAACTGAATCCAAGAGCACATCAAAAAGATAATATACGATTATTTATCCCAGTATGCATGTATGACTTACCCCAGCAATGCAAAGATGTGATTCATCACATCAATCAAATGATGGACAAAAAACATATGCTCATCTTAATAGGTGTAGACAGAGCATTTGATAAAGTGCAACTGTTCTCCATGATAAAAACTTGCAACAAGTTAGGAATAGAAGAAATATACCTCAACAGAATAAAGGCCATATATGACAATCCCACACCTAACACAATAGTGAATGCAGAAAAGGTTATCTCTAAGAACTGGAACAAAATGAGGATGCTGACTTTCACGCTCTTCTTCAATATAGTACTGGAGAAATTAGGCAAGAAGAAGAAATAAAGCCATCCAAATTGGAAAAGTGGAAGCAAAATTGTCCTCCATTGTAGGCAATATGTTATGTAGAGAAATTCCTAAAAACTCAATCAAAATACTCTTAGAACTAATAAATGTAGTAGTTAGAGAAAAAAATTCCATAGTATTTCTAGACACAAATAATGAACAAGATGAAAATGAAGTTAATCACATTTACAAAGACTACAAAAAATCTAGGAATTAATTGAGTAAGTAAAAGATTTCTACACTGAAAACCACAAACCACTGAGAAAAATTGAAAAGGATACAAATGGAGGGGCTTTCTGTGTTCGTGAATTGAAAGAATCAATATTGTTAAAATGACCATATTGCACACAGCAATCTACAGGTTTGATACTATCCCTTTTAAAACACCAATGACACTTTTCACAAAAATAGGAAAAAAGAATAAAGATTTGTATGGAACCACAAAAGATCCCAAATAGCCAAAGCAATTCTGAACAAGAAGCACAAAGCTGGAGGCATCACACTGCCTGAATTCAACATACACTACAAGGGGTGGAACAAGATGGTGGAATAGAAGCCTACACTGTTCATCCCCCACACTAGAACGCCAAATTTTAACAACTGTCTTCACACAGAAAAACACTGTCACAAGAACCCAAAATTAGGTGAGCATATTATGTCCATATTGTTGAAAGGGACATTGAGAAGGGTTTGAGAGAGTCTTGAATCTCTGACACCTCCCCTCCCCCATGTCCCTCAGCAGCAGCCCTGCTGTTTGGAGTAATAATGTTTGCACTTTGAGGAGGGACAGTGCAGGGATTGGAGGGCTTCACACAGAATTTGTGCTGCTTTGTCACAGCAGAGAATAAAGCTGAGCTGGGCTCAGCTAGCATCTGCACATGGAAAGAGCATTTGGACCAGCCCTAGCCAGACAGTCACCCATCACAGCAGTTGAAACTTTCTTGGCAAGCCTCATCACTGCAGACTGAAGTGCCCCAAGGTCCTAGGTAAACTTGAATTGTAGTCTAGAACACAAGGTTTGCAATTCCTAGGCAACTCCCAGTGCTAGGTTGGGCTTAGAGCCAGTGGACTAGGGTGGCACATGACCTAGTGAGATACCAGCTGGCATGGCAAAGGGAGGACATGTACCCTCCCTCCCACAGCCCCAGGCAGTACAGCTCCTAGCAACAAAAGCACCTTCTTCCTTATGCTTAGGAGAGGACAGCAATGAGTAACGAGGACTTCGTCTTGCATCTCGAATATTAGCTCTGCCACAGAAGGATAAGGCACCGGGCAGAGTCATGAAGCCCCCATTCCAAGCCCTAGCTCCTGGATGGCATTCCTAGATACATCCTATGCCAAAAAGGATCCTGCTGTCTTGAAGGTAAGGACACAATCCTGGCAGGACTCATCACCTGCTAACTAAGGAGCCCTTGGGCTCTGGATAACTACCAGTGATACCCAGGGAGTACACTATGGGCCTTGGGCTCTGAGATCTGCTGGCTTCAGGGGAGACTCAGCACATTCTCAGCTGTGGTGGCTATAGTGAAAGACTCCTCCTGTTTGAGAAAGGCAGAGGGAAAAGCAAAAGGGACATCTTCTTGCACCCTAGGTATCAGCTCGGCCACAGTGGAGTGGAGCAAAAAGCAGGCTTTCTGGGTCCTTGACTCCAGGTGTAGGCTCTTAGACAGCATTTCTTGACCTTCCCTGGGCCATGGGCGAGCCCACTTTCCTGTAGGGTGAGTTTCAGATCTGACAGCCTTCACCAAAAACTGATGGAAGAACCCTTGGACTTGAAGCAAACATTGTCAGTAGCCTCGCAGAAGTCCCCATAGACCAGTGGTGGTGGTGGCCAGAGGGAAGGCTTTTCTGCTTCTGTAAAGGGAAGGAAAGATGGGGAAGAACTTTGCATTGAGGTTTAAGTGCCAGCTTAGTCACAGTAGAATAGAACTTCAGGAAAATTGCTAAGATTTTTGACTCTAATCCTTGTTCTCCAGACAACATCTCTGGATATGCCTGGGGCCTGGGGTAAATGACCACCCTGAAGGCAAGGGCTTTCGGCAGGGCCTAGTGCTACCCAGTTTTCAGTTCTGACCTAGCACTGTCTCAGTGGTGGTGGCCACAGGGGTGCTTGCATCACCAGCCTTCTAGTTTCAGGTGTCTCAGTACAGAGAAAGAGAGAGAGAGAGAGAGAGTCTGTACGTTTGGGAGAAAATAAGGGATAAGGACAGGAGACTCTGACTGGTAATCCAGAAAAGTCTTCTATATCTTATCCAAGATGACCAAAGTGTTACCTCTATGAGTCTTCAAAATCCACAATGTTATTGGGCTTGGGGCTAAGTCCCTTCAAAAACCTAGAAAAACCTTCTCAAGAAAGCCAGGCACAAACAAGCCCAGGCTGTGAAGACTACAATGAATACCTAACTCTTCAATGCCTAAATATCTAAGAACATCTACAAGTATCAGCACCATCCAGGAAAACGTGACCTCACCCAATGAACTAAATAAGGCACCAGGGACTATCCTGGAGAAACAGAAATATGTGACCTTTCAGATAGAGAATACAAAATAGCTGTCTGGAAGAAACTGAAAGAAATTCATTGTAACACAGAGTGGGAATTCAGAATTTAATCAGATAAAAAGAGATTGAAATAATTAAAAAGAATCAAAGGGAAAATATAGAGTTGAAAAATGCAATTGACATGCCAAAGAATGCATCAGAGTCTCTGAATAGCAGAACTGATCAAGCAGTAGAAAGAATAAGAGCTTAAAGACAGTCTATTTGAAAATACATAGAGGAGGCAAAAGAAAAACAATTTTAAAAAACCATACCTACAAGATCTAGAAAATAGCATCAAAAGGACAAATCTAAGTTGTTGGCCTTAATAAAGAGGTAGAGAAAGAGACAGGGGTTGATAGTTGATTCAAAGGGTTAAAACAGAGAACTTCCCAAAACCAGAGAAAAATATCAACCTCCAAATACAAGAAGATTATAGAACACCAAGCATATTTAACCCAAAGATGACTACCTCAAGGCATTTAATAAATTTCCAAAGTCAAGCATTAAAAAAGGATCTTAAAAGCAGCAAGAGAAAAGAAAAAAATAACCTACAATGAAGCTCCAGTATGTCTGGTAGCAGACTTTTCAGTAGAAACCTTACAGGCCAAAAGAGTGGCATGATATATTTGAAGTGCTGAAATAAGAAAAAATCTTTTAACCTAGAATTGTATAGCAAAAACATTCTTTAAGCATGAAAGTGAAGTAAAGAACTTCACAGATAAATAAAATCTGTGGGAACTCATCACCAGATCTGCCCTACATGAATTGGTAAAGGGAGATTTTAAATCTGAAATCAACAGAAGGTACAAAACTCACTGGTAATCTTTAAATGAGCAAGAAGAAATCAACTGAAGGTACAAAACTCACTGGTAATAGTAAGCACTGGAAAATATAGAATAGTACAGTGCTATAATTTTACTGCATAAGCTTCTCAATTTAATTAGAAAGACTAAATGATGAACCAATCAAAAATAACTACAACTTTGCAAGACACAGTACAAAACATAAAAAGGAACAACAAAATGTTAAAAAGTGGAGGACAAAGTTAAAATGTAGAGTTTTTATTGTTTTTCTTTTGTGTGTTTGTTAATATAATCAGTGCTAAGTTGTCATCAATTTAAAATAATGGGTTATAGGATAGTATTTGCAAGCCGCATAGTAATTTCAAACCAAAAATAACAAAACATATGATGGATATGCAAAAAATAAAAAGCAAGAAATGCAAGCATACTACCAGAGAGTGTCATCTTCACTAAAAGGAAGACAGAAAGGAAGGGGAAAAGATAAGAGAAGAACACACAACAACCAGAAAACAAATAACAAACTGGCAGGAGTAAGTTCCTACTTATTAATAATAACATTGAATGTAGGTGTACTAAACTCTCCAATCTGAAGACACAGAGTGGCTGAATGTATGAAAAAACAAGGCCCAGTGATCTTTTGCCTACAAGGTACAAGGAGCATGCTTCACCTATAAAGGTACATAGACTGAAAATAAAAGGATGGAAAAAAATATTCCATGACAATGGAAACCAAAAACAGCAGGAGTAGTTATATCAGAGAAAATAGATTTTGAGACCAACACTATAAGAAGAGACAGAGAAGGCCATTATATAATGATAAAAAGGTCAGTTCAGCAAAAGGGTATAATAGCTATAAATATATATCCACACAACCATGGAATACCAAGATATATAAAGCAAATATTATTAAAGGTAAAAAGAGAGATAGCTCCCAATACAATAATAGCTGGAGATTTCAGTACCCTACTTTAAGCATTGGACAGGTATTCCAGGCAGAAGATCACGAAATATTGGAAATAATCTGCACTATAGAATCAATGGACCTAATAGATATTTACAGAACATTTCATAAAATGGCTGCAGAATATACATTTTGTTCATTCTCAAAGATAGACCGTATGTTATATTGTAAAACAAGTCATAAAACATTCAAAAAATTGAAATAATATCAAGCATCTTCTCTGATTACAATGGAATAAAGCTACAAATCAATAACAAAGAATTCTGGAAACTATACAAACACATGGAAATTAAACAACATGACCCAGTGGATTAATGAGAAAATTGAAAAATTTCTTGGAAAAAAATGATAATGGAAACACAACATATTAAAACCTATGGAATACAATGAAAGCAGTCCTAAGAAGAAAATTTATAGCTATAAATGCCTACGTCAAAAAAGAATAAAAACTTCAATAACCTAATGATGCATCTTAAAGAACTGGAAAAGTAATACCAAACTGAACAGAAGTTAGTAGAAAAAAGAAATAAGAAAGATCAGAGCAGAAACAAATGAAATGAAAACAACACAGAAAGATCAATAAAGCAAAAGTTGTTTTCTGAAAAGATAAACAAAATTACAAACTTGTATCCAGACTAACAAGAAAAAAAAGACCCAAAGAAATAAAACCAGAGGTAAAAAATGAAACATTAAAACTGATGCTGCAGAGATTCAAAGGATCATTAGTGGCTACCATAAGTAAGTATATGCTAATAAATAGGATAATCTAGAAGAAATGGGTCATTCCTGCACACTTACAACCTACTAAGATTGAACCAGGAAAATATCCAAAACCTGTTCAGACCAAGAACAAGTAAGGAGATCAAAGTCATAATAAAAAGTCTCCCAGCAAAGGAAAGCCCAGGACCCAATAACTTCACTTCAGAATTCTACCAAACATTTAAAGAAGGCCTAATATCAATCCCATTCAAACTGCCCCCAAAAATAGTGGAAGTGGGAGTACTTACAAACTCATCCTATCTGGCCAGTATTATCTTGATACCAAAACCAGAGACACATCAAAAAAAAAAAAAGAAAGAAAGAAAAAGAAAAAAAACTAGAGGCCAATATCTCTGATGAATATTGATGCAAAAATACTCAACAAAACAGCAAACCAAATTCAACAATATGTTAGAAAGATTATTCATCACGACCAAGTGGGATTTACCCCAGGGATGCAAGGGCCATTCAACATGCAAATCAATCAATGTAAAACATATCAACAGAATAAAGGGCAAGAACCATATGATCATTTCAGCAGATGCTGAAAAATCATTTGATAAATTTCAACATCCCTTCAGGATAAAAACCCTCAGAAACTGGATGTAGAAGGAACATACCTCAAAATAATAAAAGCCATATATATGACAGACCAACAGTTAGTATTGTACTGAATGGGGAACATCTGAAAGTCATTTCTCTCGGAACTGCAGCATGACAAAGATGCCCACTTTCACCATTATTATTCAATGTAGTACCGGAGGTCTTAGCTAGAGCAACTAGACAAGAGAAAGAAATAGAGAGCATCCAAATTGGAAAGAGAGAAGTCAAATTATGCCTATTCACTGGTATGATTTTATATTTGGAAAAACCTGAATACTCAACCAAAAAAACTATTAGAACTGATAAACAAATTAAATAAATGTGCCAGATACAAAATCTACATACAAAAGTCAGCATTTCTATATACCAGTAACAAAATCAAAAAGGTAATCCCATTTACAGCAGCTACAAATAAAATTAAATACCTAAGAATTAACCAAAGAAGTGAAAGATCTCTATAATAAAAACTATAAAACACTGATGAAATAAAGAGGACACCAAAAATTGATAGATTCCATATTCATAGACTAGAATAATCAATATTGTTTAAATGTCCATACTACCCAAAGCAATATAGAGTTAATGTAATCTCTATCAAATTACCAATAACATTCTTCACATAAATAGAAAAGTGAATTCCAAAATTTATATGAAACAACAAAAGACCCAGAGTAGATCAAGCTATCCTAAGGAAAAAAAATGGAGGAATCAATTTACATGACTTCCAATTGTTCTACAGAGTTATAGTAACCCAAACAGCATGGTACTGGCATAAAAATAGACGGATAGACCAATAGAAGAGAATAGAGAACCCAGAAACAAATCCACACACCTATAGTGAACTCATTTTTGACAAAGGTGCCAAGAACATACCTTGAGGAAAAGACAGTCTCTTAAATGTGCTGGGGAAACTGGATTTTTATATGCAGAAGAATGAACTTGATCCCTATCTCTTGCCTTATACAAAAATGAAATCAAAATGGATTAAAGACTTAAATCTAAGACTTCAAAGATATCTGCACTCCTATGTTTACAAGAGCCAAGATTGAAAGCAACTTATGGGAAGCAGAATTGTCTTATTCTCAGTATGATTCATTTTGTCTATAGTAATGAAAGTAAGAAAAACTCTAGAAGACTATACAAATCAAATGAAAGAGAGATGGAGGCTGTGGGAATGGTAGTTCTGCCCACCTGGGCACATGCCTTTAGTGTTAAAGTTTTAGAGTTCTAATAACTGTTTGAATTAGAGAGTTGACTCATTGGCTATTGGTAAGGATATATCAGTATTGATCAGTACTTAACCCAAGATAATTTTATTCACAATTAACTTGCTTCTTAAGTTAGCTGATCTGTGAAGGATGCTGCACCACACAGAAATTTTATTTGCACAAGTATTAAAAAATTTAGGCCTTTCTGTGAAGTGTATTTAGTGCAAAGCTTTAGGTTTATTGACTACCTATGACATCTTTTACATAAAGAGCCAAGAGTAAAGCTTTATGAAGTTTATAACCCTAATGATATTTTAATTGTTTTGAATGATAGTTCATGCTATTGTTTCTAGTACATGTTCTTTTTAACACTGCTTATTTAGTAATTGTTATTATATTTTACAGTTATTGAGCACTCAAATGTGATCACTTTACAGAATAGAACACTTCAGATGATCCTTCCTTATTTAATTAAAAATAAACCCTTTAAGAGTAGGTCACCAGCACTCTATTTTTACATCCAGAGTCTTTTAATTATGTAAGAATTTTAGTAACTTTAATCTTTCTGTGATTACTTTTAGTAAAAACATAGAGATCCAAAATTAAGAAAATAAATATGGTTTGAAAATGCAGATAGCATTAAGAAATCGATTTTTTTAAAAAAAGGTTGTATAGTGTAGAATAATAGGTTACATATTTGTAGTCAAATGGTCAGTGTTGGAATATTGACTTTTTCTGAGATTGGCCAAACTTACTCTCTAAGTGCCATACTTTTCACATAATGCTTCTGATTTGTTAAGAGAAACACATGAAGTTCTGTGAAAGAAATTTTGAAAGTGCTAAATAATTATAAAATGTTATTAAGATTACCATATTACCCAGATCTAAAATGTCTTTGTCATAAGGTGTGAATATAGTTAAGGGTTCTAGAGTTTTTAAAAACATAGATAAAACAACAAGTTGAGTAGGGAGACAGAGTAAAAGGAAATTGAACCAAACAATGCCAATAAAACAGAAAATACATAAAAAGTCTTCTTGTTAAAAAAAACCACACTCAATGTGTTCTAGAATGCTGAATATATCATAAATTTCAAATTTCATTGTAGTGACCAAATTGATAGTTTTCAAAATTAAATATATCACATTTAACATCCTGTAGAATGCTATTCAGGTGTATCTTTCAATTTGGGCCACTTTTCTCCAGACCTTCTGGCCATTTATTCAGCACTTCACCGTGCCTTGCTTCAACTGTTATTGTTAAAGTCACCTTTTTGATCATTATCAATATTTCTCCCCAAGTTACTATTTTTAAATAAAAATATAAGACTAGCCCTTTTCTTTTTTTCTTCTTTTTTCTTAGTAAACCCTTTCTTTATTGATGATATCAAAGCACAATGAACAAAAATTCTGAATCATTAATATTTTTAAGTAACACTGGATGATCATGTATCTAGGTTAGTTTTTATAATTAAATGAAGCTTAAGAGTTTTGCTGAAACACTGAAGATGATACCGACCTTTACAAATATTTGGCCCCTTTCTTGAAGTTGGTAGTTAAAAATGATAAGAAAATGTATAGAAATTATTTATTAGCCATTTTGGAACCATGAAAAAAAGTTAAACTGCACTCAAAAAATTATCCTTTGGATTTCAGGCCCTCCAGGAAAACAAGGTAAGCGAGGCCGAAGAGGAGAATCTGGTAACTCTCTCTTTCAGCTACTCTATGTCACTCGTTCTGGTTAAGTTCTGGTGTCTGTTCTTCCTAGTTAATGATAATATTGTCTTGTTGGAGGTTGTGTGTGTGTTTAAATCTTCTCTGCTAGACCTACTTTTTTTTTTAAATCTTCTCCTTATTTCTATCCAGCTGTAAAAAGGAGAAGTTTGCAAAGTATTGTTAATTGCAGTTTAGTAACAATTGGTACCCATTTTTGGCTTATTTACTGGGTCAAGTTAAGTCTGTCCTTTCTATATACAATGGAGGGTTTCTCAGCTGCACACAGTGTGATAGCATCGCCCTCATTTCCATCTATGTAGGTGGTCAGTAAACGTAGGTCCTTTGCAAAAACACCTGCCTTGGGACACTAGGGCACGTGTCTTAGCTGTATTATTATTTTATCCAATTGGCACAATTTTGTCATGCTTTTACTCTCATTCTTTTCAAAATTTGGGAATGTTTTTTCCTTTTTGTACAACCATGGAATTTTAGTGATGACAGGAGCACTAGTAATCAATCCACAATTTTCATTTTGTAGGTGAGGAAATTGAGTCCCACAACAGTCAGGTGATTTGGCCAAGGCAGAACTTGAAACAGAACCAATTGTCCTGATTCCTACTTCAGTACATTTTTGCTTTCAGGCCATATCCTTATACGTAAAACAAATCACCAGTGTGAAACAGAAAAGTCAAGTAAAATTTCTTTTGAAACTGAGGTGATCTGTATAAACGAGTTCACTTAACTGTTTTACTTTTTTTGGAAATGACACATGAAGTCTTATCAGACCATTAATTCTTCCGTGCAAGATAAAAGTAATTTGAGGTTTGACTCTAGCATGCTGTAAATTGTTATTTTTCAGTATCTTCTATAAGTATTTATCAATATTAAAAATAATCAATTACTAAGTGCTGAAACAGTAGAAGCATTAACCTATCAAGAGCTGACGGCAGATTGATGTGGGGTTTTTTTCCATCTCATTTCCTCTTCCATTTTAAGAAAGATGTTAATGTAAAAAGGGTTTATGAAAAATTATTAATTTGAGTAGTGTAGTTGCTTTTTTTAATTTTACTTTAAGTTCTGGGAACATGTGCAGAATGTGCAGGTTTGTTTCATAGGTATACACGTGCCAAGGTGGTTTGCTGCACCTATCAACCTATCATCTAGGTGTTAAGCCCCGTGTAAATTAGATGTTTGTCCTAATGTTCTCCCTCCCCTTGCTACCCAGCCCCTGACAGGCCCCTGTGTGTGATGATCCCCTCCCTGTGTCCATGTGTTCTCACTGTTCAACTCAAAAGTGGATTAAAGACTTAAACATAAGACCTAAAACCATAAAAACCCCAGAAGAAAACCTAGGCAACACCATTCAGGACATAGGCATGGGCAAAGACTTTATGACTAAAACACCAAAAGCAATTGCAACAAAAGCCAAAATTGGCAAATGGGATCTAACTAAACTAAAGAGCACAGCAAAAGAAACTATCATCAGAGTGAACAGGCAACCTACAGAATGGGAGAAAATTTTGCAATCTACCCATCTGACAAAGGTCTAATATCCAGAATCTACAAGGAACTTAAATTTACAAGAAAAAAAAACCCCATCATAAAGTGGGCAAAGGATATGAACAGATATTTCTCAAAAGAAGACGTTTGTGCAGCCAACAGACATATGAAAAAAGCTCATCATCACTGGTCATTAGAGAAATGCAAATCAAAACCACAATGAGATACCATCTCATGCCAGTTACAATAGCAATTATTAAGTCAGGAAACAACAGATGCTGGCAAGGCTGTGGAGAAATAGGAACACTTTTACACTGTTGGTGGGAGTGTAAATTAGTTCAATCATTGTTGAATACAGTGTGGCGATTCCTCAAGGATCTAGAACCAGAAATACCATTTGACCCAGTAATCCTATTACTGGGTATATACCCAAAGGATTATAAATCATTCTACTATAAAGACACATGCACACGTATGTTTCTTGCAGCACATTTTACGATAGCAAAGACTTGGATCCAACCCACATATCCATCAACGATAGACTGGATAAAGAAAATGTGGCACATAAAATACCATGGAATACTATGCAGCCATAAAAAAGGATGAGTTCATGTCCTTTGTAGGGGCATGGATGAAGCTGGATGACATAATTCTCAGCAAACTAACACAGGAACAGAAAACCAAATACTGCATGTTCTCACTCATAAGCGGGAGTTGAACAAGACTAGCCCTTTTCTTATTTAAAAAGCTCTCTACAATTACAAGTTGCCTATGTTTAAAAAATTTTAAAATATTTATAGCACACAAAATCCATGCATAAACTCTCTGTCATCAGTGTCTTCTATGCATCTAAGTTTCTGCTTAACTTTTACATAGCAACATCAGTGTCATTGTTTTTAATTTGCAACTTTCAGCCATTTTATATGCTATTATGATTACCTAAAATGTCTTCACTTCTCTTTTTCTCCTGGCAAACTCTTTCTCAGTCTTTAAGACCCAGCTCAAATGGCCCATCCACAGAGAGGCCCCCTCCAACTTCACAACACTTGTTCTGTTTATGTTATTAAATGTGATAGCACTTCCTCAGTTGTGGTGTATCTTTTTTGAGGGTTTTATTTCTCACATTTTATTTTATTTCTCAAATTGTGAGCCTCTTTGTTTAGAGGTAGTGCTTGGCTTGTAATTTATGTTTAATATTTAAATCCTTGTTAATGGGTGGACAAATGGATGGATGTGTGGATAGAAGAAGAGGAAGATGAAAGCTTAGGACCCCAAAATTAGTCTAATTCTCAGTTCAGGTTTCTGATTCCTTCATCTCCTGTATACCTCCTACCAATATATTCTTTGTCCTTCTGTTCTTCACTGATTAAGGCAACTATCCCTTGTGTAGCTACGATGCAGTAGGGATAGCTCAATTCATTTATTTTCCATTTTCCTTCAGACAGTACCTAAGTCTAGGAGCTCTTATAGCAAATGTGTGAGAGTAAACCACATCGTGTTAGTCATGGACTATTTAAACAGAGATATTATTAGTTGATATTGGAATTAGCTTTTTTTCTCATTTATAACTGATTTAAAAAATCAAGTTCTTATTCACAATGTATGTATACTCACTCTCTATTGTCAGCTTAGAAAAAAAATTATCTAGAGTGATTGAAACTTACCTGAATCATTGCTAAGCTTCCTATATTACAGCATGGGCATGCCTACAAACTATACCCCTTTAATCATACTTGCTACCTACAAATCTCTCCTAAAAAGCACATAATACTTTTAAATTAATAAGAAATGAATTATATTTGTAAAATTTTTAATGCTCATTCTGGTTTACTTCAGTTCCTGGACTTAGGGTCAATTCTTAATTCTGTATATATTTCAGCCTCCTGCAAACAGGACAAATCTAGCAATAGAAAAAAGTTTTCTGCCTGCAAGCCAAACAGTCAAAATGTTAACAAGGATCCCTGATTCCATAAATAAGAGTTTCCTTACCAGCGGTAAAATTTCTAGAAACTCCTGCTGTGTAAGCTAGAAGGCTTCAAGCTGAGCTCTTTTTTTAGCAGCAAGTTGCCCTTAGATAAATTACACTGATGACTAAGTAAAACCAAGGTAATGTGAGACCAGAGTATAGCTAACATTCTTCACGTCATGCACCATTATCAGACTCAACGAAGCAAACCTTTAGAGATCAAAGAATAAACCTTGTCCTCACTGCTTTTTGCTGTGCTGAAAATTTTAACTGCTGGTTAGTCTATTTTTAACTTATTTAAATGGAGCCAACTGCTTACTGGCTCAGAGGGTGCTTAGCTAAGAAACTACTGCCTGGCTTATATTGTCCTATCATCTAAGAACTTGATGCCCTAGATTTCCCAAGGCAGACCCTGTTTTAGGACTTGCAGGTTTAAGATCTGATTTGTACTCCCTGGCTCCAGTGAAAAATAACCTGAAACCAACCTAGTTGGAGAGATAATTCATATTAGGTGATACTAGATTGAAAGATTTAAATAACAATTGGAATTTAGACCTTGTTGGGAACAAGCTCCCCAAAATCTGGCCATAAACTGGCCCCAAAACTGGCCATAAAAAAAAATCTCTGCAGCACTGTGACATGTTCATGATGGCCATAATGTCCATGCTGGAAGATTATGGGTTTACAGGAATGAGGGCAAGGAAGACCTGGCCCACCCAGGGCGGAAAACCGCTTAAAGACATTCTTAAGCCACAAACAATAGCATGAGCAAGCTGTGCCTTAAGGACATGCTCCTGCTGCAGTTAACTAGCCCAACCTATTCCTTTAATTCGGCCCATCCCTTCATTTCCCATAAGGGATACTTTTAATTTAATATCTATAGAAACAATGCTAATGACTGGCTTGCTGTTAATAAATACGTGGGTAAATCTCTGTTTGGGGCTCTCACCTCTGAAGGCTGTGAGACCCCTGATTTCCTACTACACACTTCTATATTTCTGTGTGTGTGTCTTTAATTCCTCTAGCGCCACTGGGTTAGGGTCTCCCCGACTGAGCTGGTCTCGGTAAGGCCTAATATGATAGACCATAAACAGCTATAGTAGATTCTTGACTTGAGAGAAACAATAAACAAATTTTTAACAATAGTAAAAAAAAATAGATGATATTGTATATTATCAATTAATTATGGAGTTATGTTGGAATTAAGATCTTATGTGGCCAAAAGACTGGTTTTCTGCTTTGGCTATTTATGCATCCTTAGAGGGCCTCAACCCTGTGTGTTGGGAAAACTCTCTGTGCTAACCAAGAACTGCTCTTGATAAGCTCAGGACAAAGAATGAGGCAGACCATTCAAGGTTGGTAAGTAGTCAAATATTTATTCAGAGGGAATTTATAAGGCAGTCTTGGGTGTCAGTAAGACAGGGCACATCTCTGTGTGTAATGGATACCTGTCTAGACTTTTTCCCTTTCCTCTTTCTTTTCATGGTATAAAAGAGAAAAAAAGTTGCAAATGTGTTAAGCCATCTGTTTGCATTCTTAATCTATGTACTCTCTACTTAAAGATATTATTTGGATTTCCTATAATCTGTCCAACATTCCTAAGGTGGGGGAATGTTATGGGCAGCAGCAATTGATGCTTGTATGTTTCTTCCAGTCGCTGCATCCTACCTCCACTTCGTGGTCACATATGCAGAAAACATCTTCACAACACTCTATTCCTCATGATCACCCTCCAGTTTTAAATACCTCCTCCCCATGAGAGTCCTTGGGTATCACTATGGGTTCTATAGTGAGGGTGATAGCCTTATTGGCAACTTGATGCCACATTACAGGATGATTTCACAGCAACAATAGAGACACATAAGGAAAAAACGCAAAGCAATGAAGTAAGCAAATAATGATTAGCAACTGTTTTATCAATTTACTAAGATTTTAAAATCAATATGACAACTATTGATGGGGCGGCATCACTTACAGTATTTATCTATGATGCCATGTGTTGCACTAGAGTGGTGACGTTTTATTTGTAACATATAGATAGCATTCTGTTATGATAATGGCACAGATGCTGCCTTGTGCCATAGTCTTTACATGAAAGCGGTTTCTGTGTTGAATGCTAGAATGTCCTGTCTGCTGTCCTTTAGAGCTCGTCTAGTGAGATTAGTTGATGTCTTTATACGAGCTATTATATTTCTTATGCTTATTTGAGGACTAAAGAGGGCAGCTATATGACCATACCAGTAGAAGGCAGATCACCCTCCCATCCAGCTCTGAGCTATGGGTGATTGGCAGCAGCAGTCAGTTTATTCCATAACTGTTCCATTGCCCAGCAGAACCAGAGGGTACAACATCCCATCCATCTGGGGGCAGCCAGGCCTACAGGTTGGAACCACACAGCAACCATGTTTCATTAGGGGCCACCCAGTGTTTGTCTGATCATTTTACCCTGTCAGTGGCATACCAATCAGGGTTTAGCAGGGTAACCATGATATTATGGGTGGAAGGAGGCACTACTCTGTGTATGGAGTGGTCTTTGGAATTATGTTTTTGCTGTGATTTTCTTTCCGGCAGAGAGGGACAACTTGACTCAACTTTTCATAGCCTGGGGTTATTTACATACATTTATTTCAGACCTGTGTACATTTTTTGTTAATACTTACTACTGATTTTTGGGCTATTTGAGACTTTAAAAAATTTTTATTTTTGTGGCATTACATGAGAGTGGGAAGGGGTGTCCCTTGTTTGATAAAGTATCGTTAATGGGCCATTGGATGGGGTCTTACCTAGTAATATCTGCAGTATTTCAAGTACTCACATTTTTTCCCCCAAAACGTATGACTGTAATGCAACCCAGAAAGTTTCTGTAAAGAGTTTAGCCTCCATGTCTGAACAGAGATTCCTAACAGCAGCACCTGTCCATAAGCCTAATAAGCTGATGTATTTATCATTTGGGCATAGGACACAGCCCAATATAAGAACACATTTTTTTAGACTATGTCCTGTAATGTTTACATTTCATATTAGCAACAGGAAGCTAGAGGCAGTGAAACAAAATTCTAATACACATTTGTGAAGGCAGATCATCTCCTTCAACAAGGATTATACTGGTGGATTGTATTTGAGTGGTCAAAACAGTAGCTGCTGGGGTGGCTTCCCAGGAGAAACATACCATATGTGCTGTCCAGGGAAAGTAGGCGTGCCTCCCATGAGGATTCTGACTGCAGAGGGGCTTATATGCCAGACCAGGAACCTGATGACTTCTCCCCTCTGCAAAGTGCAAGTGCCTCTCCACTGGTACATTATTACCTCAAGCCCAGTGTCTAGCAGTACGATGAGAGTCCAAGTCAGTAAGGTGTGGTTCTCAGCCCTGCAGGACGAAGTATCCCACTGAACCTGGTAGGGGATCCCATGCTAATTTTCACTGCACCAGACCATCTCTTGGTTGGATGTTTCAAGGGGTGTGCATAACCATAATGCACTTAGTAGGGGCCAGCTGAGGCAAGAACGTATCTCACTGTTTTCCATTCTCTTAGTGAGGGCCCATCTAGCTTTCTTTGCCTGGCAAATGGGGTAACAGGGTAGCTTGTGGCAATACTTTCATCTACCTGGCCAGGTTAGGAGTACCTATAAGTGCTTTTATCTGCTGTTTGAATACCCTGGTTTTTTGTTCCATCAGCCCTGTTGCATGTGGGTTATAAGGTAGATGGAATCTCTACAGGACTTTATTTTGTCATGCCCATTTTGTATATCATGTCCTTTGAAGTGGTTTTTAATCACTACTTTATGGGGCATGTCATTCGTTAACACTTAATTTTTTTTTTTAAGTCTCTAGGGCTTGCTGGTTAGCCCTATGACAGGGGAAAGCCAATGTCAGGCCAGTGGCTGTGTCCACACACACTAGTGTATACTTAATCCCCTCACTTATGGGTAATGGGTCAGTATACTCTATCTGCTGTTACTTGACAGATGTCAACCCTCTGTATGTCTTTTCATGCTGCAATAACTTGGACCATATTTGTGTGTATGTTTATTTCATTCCTTCAACAAATATTAATAAGCAGATACTTTCCTAGGCACCAGGACACAAGATTGAACAAAACAGATAAAAACTCTGACCTCATGGAACTTATATCCTGTTTTATTTGTTTATATTGTTGTATTTTAAAATGTTATTCCTCAAGATACTTAATATGATAGCAACATTAAAATACCTATAATGTAATAGATATGCATTTCATTGTAGTTTCTATAGACAGCAATCTCTTCAAAAGAGTTTGTGTAGAAAAGGTTAGATTCAGCATTCTGACAGCATTCTAACTGGGATGTGCTCAGGTTTAAAATAGACTCTTAAGGGAATTTAGGGAGCTACTTTTTGAAGGTTATTTTTTCCCCTAGATGTTTCAGACTGAAATGGCCTCTCAAAAGTTCACCATTCTCCAGTCATATATGTATATAATCTGAATGTTACTTGGTAAATAGGTTCTTTGCAGTTGTGATTAAGTTAAAGATTTGGAGATGGGTAGATTGTCCTGTGTTATCCATGTGGGCCCTCAATACTGTCACAAATGTCCTTATAAAAGAGAGGCAAACTGAGACTTGACTCAGGCCTAAGAGGAGAATGCAGTGTGACCAAGGAGGCAGAGATGGGAGTGATGCAGTCACAAGGCAAAGAATACCAGTGGCCATGATGAGCTGAAAGAGCTAAGAAACATTGTTCCCTAGAGCACCTGGAGTGAGCATAGCCCTGTTGACTTTGTAGTTTTAGCCTAGTAATAAACATTGCAAAGTTATGGCCTCCAGAACTGCGAGAAAATAAATGTCTACTGTTTTAAGCCACCTAGGTTGTCGGAATTTCTTACAGCAGTCATAGTAAATGAATACATTTCTTAATTCTTATTCCTTCTTCCTATTTAAGATATTTGCTGCAACTTCTAATTATATGCCCTTTATAAGGTTAAGAACATAGGGCCTATTCTTAGTATGCTAAGAGTTTTTTATAATAAATGGGTGATAAATTAAAATTTTCTGCATTAATGATCCTCTATTAATAACACAAATTGTACATACACACATTCACACATGCATTCTTCTAAGAATAATTTTTTTCCTAAGATAAACTCAACTAGAACATGATGCATTATCTTTTACTAGATGTGGTTTGCCAATAATTAGTTAGAACATTTGTATCTATATTTACTAGTGAGATTGACTTACAATATTCCTTTTTTGTACTGTATCTATTTTGGTTTGGGTATACAAGACATGCTAGCTTCAAACAATTAGTTGAACATTGCTTTCTTGTTTCCTACCCGTTGGAAGTGTTTGTACACCAATGAATGACCACATCCCCGGCAAGGTTTTTTTTTAAATTTATTTTATTTTTTATTGTTTATTTTATTTTTTATTTTATTTACGTAAGGAAGGTAACCTCAATGCCCAAAACACAATTTTGATAGCACTAAATCTAATTTTGTGTGTGTGTGTGTTTTGATGATGGTACTAATGGGTAGGTCATACCTTTATTACATTTAACAAAGTAGAGCTAAATGTGAATGTAGCTCCATTACCAAGCTTCAAGGAAAGTTAGATGATTGTGCCTTATCTCCTTGTAACATGATAACTAGACCTCTGAAAAACAGACTATTAATACTTGCTATGGCATCTGAACATAAAAATTAATGATACTTATTTGAAGTATCATTACATTTAACAAAGTAGAGCTAAATTTATTTACATTTAACAAAGTAGAGCTTTATTACATTTAACAAAGTAGAGCTAAATGTGAATGTAGCTCCATTACCAAGCTTCAAGGAAAGTTAGATGATTGTGCCTTATCTCCTTGTAACATGATAACTAGACCTCTGAAAAACAGACTATTAATACTTGTTATGGCATCTGAACATAAAAATTAATGATACTTGTTTGAAGTGTTGTTTTTATAAACTACTATAGTCAACCACAGTTGTGTCTTGCGTAACTTAAGAGTACCGACTTCAAAGTCTGCCTTCCTGGGTTCAGATCTTAGATCTTGATATTTCCGTGTGATGTCGGGCAAATTACTTAGCCTCTCTATGACTTAGTTGCCCCCATCTGGGAAAAGACAGATAATACCTCATATGTTTGTTATGGGGCTTAAGTGAGTGAGCATTTGTTGACGCACACAGAATATTTTTTTGTATCTAGGAAGGGTTTTATATGCATTAACTAGTATTTTTATCATGTTCTATACCATTTATCTTCTAAACATATTAGAACACTTCACATCAATTATCTGGCCCAGCATCAGAACCTTTGTGTATGTGGCAAGAAATTCCCCATTTAATATGTGGAGTAGTTGAATGTTGGAGGTTTGTGACTAGATTATAGATAAACCAGCCTGAGAGGGGCGCAAAGTGCTGACTATAAGCTAGATCCAAGGTGTGTTTTTTATTATCTTACACTTACTTCACTAATTGTATTAAATAAAAGAGTAAGAAAATTGCATTTAATGTGTGATCTGCCTTTTGATCCATATGTTTTCTCAGATTCTGCCTGGCAGTTAATGTACTTGATGAAATCACTGATTAGTACTGTGCTGAATTATTTATCTTTTAGTTTTAAAGGTTTAAGGAGAATAAATTGTAGGTAGCAAAAATTGAGATAGGATATTATGGTTTTCTTATTAGGAAAGTCTTCTCATTTCAGTTCCTTATCTTTGTTTGCTTGTTAAATAAACTTTTATATCAATGTGGCCTGGATCTAAGACTGACTTCTATTACTATTGTCAGATAATTTTCTATGAATGTAAATGTGTCTTAACATACAGATAAAATTCCCCATGCTGTATAACTATATATTCAAGTTGTCAATTGTAGGCAATGATTTTATAACTCTACCCTTCCATGTTGAATAATAATAAGTAGCGACCATTGAAGGATGGGTAAGGATTCCAACAGTTTGAGCACAGTCTATCACATTTTCTCCAAATGAAATGTTACTTTTTTGGTCAATCAGGGCACATCTGGCAAAATATTTTTAAGCATGTAAATATCTGTCTCCTCTCATATTAAACTGGCTGATGCTCAACATCTAAAATTGGATATGTACAAACTAACTTGCCAAGCAAGTAGGGAATTTTTTGGAGGTTTTCAAATTATATTTCAAATTTTAATTTTTCAAATTATATTTGAAAAATAATGTAAATTTTAATGGGATTTTTGTTACATAATTAGTTTAAAAATTAAACAGTGTGCAAATATAATTATACCAAATAGAATAGAAAAAGTTGCCTCAAATGTGATTAAAAATGATCCTGATGTAGTATATAGTTTTTAGAACTTACTGCAGTAAGTCATTTTGTGAGTAATGAGATGGATGGTGTGAGTTTTTCCCCAAGAGCAAGAAAGAAGAAAAGAGAAGCATGAAACAAGGAAAAAAAAAAAAAAGAAAGAATGACTTTCTACGGTGTTCATTACAGCCAAAATTAAGAAAAAATACATAAAAGTAGGTAAATCTGTAGTATATTTTAGCTTTATGTTATTCAAATAGAAAATATATACTCAACTGGACTATATATATATATATATATGTATATATATTTAACTGGAGTAATAGATTTTGGTGTTCATATGTAATATATACATTCGTGTCTACATATATTATAGATAATATTAATGCATATAATATGGAATGCACCATTTTATAACTATGCCATATATAATATATATAATACCTAATTTCATATTTAGAAATGTGATGTCGGGCAAGTTACTTAGCCTCCCTATGACTTAGTTGCCCCCATCTGGAAAAGAGAGATGATACCTCATATGTTTGTTATGGGGCTTATGTGATTGAGCATTAAGCATCCCTTATTACAAGGATGTCTAGGAGAAATTTTTGCCTATTGTTCCAAGAATGATATATATTTTGAATAATTCTATTTTTATATTTATATATGGCATAGTTATAAAATGGTGCATTAAATAAGATTAGCAAACTAATAGTTATTGAAACATTAAATGAGATAATGTATGTAAAGTTCTTAGTATAGTGCTGACACTTTGCAAGTATTAAATGCAGGTGTTATTAATGCTCTATTGTTACTACTACTGGTAGTACTAGCGGTAGAAGTAGGGTCTTGAAAGCTTTTATAAAAATGTTTGAAACACCAAAGGCATAAGAGTTGGGGGAAGGTTTCCCTAGTGATATGCTGGTTTTTGAGGAAATGCATACCTTTCCCTAATCAATCAAAATAACGTTATTAATATTTATCTCTGTAAAGGCTTACAATATATGTTCAAAAACAGACACAATTATACAGACATGCATAGAAATATTTTAATGAGAAAAAGGTACTGAAAGAATGAAATTCAGAAGACAATAATTGCTACTTCCACTTTTCAGGACTTAAGATAGTATATACTAATTACAATTTTTTAAAAAATAGATTAATACACCTGGAAGAAAAAAAGTTGCCAAAGAGATTAGATTTAGGCTGAATTATGATGGATGACTGGAGTTGATCCTGAAGAAAGGTCATTGTAAAAGCAGTTACCAAACTCAACTAAAAATGTTACTGGAAATTAAATATATCAAGTAGATGGGCAGTAGTAGATACTTGTGTAACACCACGGGAGGAGATTAAGGAATAAACAACAAAGGTATGAGTACCAAGTGAAATTAGATGAACAGAAAGCTGGTAATTGGAATGCAACCCATTGGGCCCCAAAGAGCTACATATTCTAAACTATACTTTGGTGCAATATTATTAGTCTGATATGTGGATCTTTATTTAAATTATCAACTCTAGGTAACTCATTGCTATTTTTTAAGAATAATGTTCAGGGACATTTTTCTTACCTCATGTGGTATCTTTATTAGAAGGATGTCTAGGATAAATTCTTGTCTAATTATTGTTCCAAGAATGATTCATATTTTGAATATTTCAAATTTTTTATATTTTTATTTTTGTATAATAAATTGAATAATTAACCATATCCATGTCGAACATTAGAACTGCATAGCCCAATATAGCTCAGATAAAAATTGCCAGTGTCTAGTGAAACAGAGGCACAGGTAGTGGAGATGGAGACAGAGTATGTTCTTACAGTGCCTCTGGAATTTTTCAGCCAATGACACAGCAGTGAGACAGAGAGGCATCTCATTAGAACAGTCTCCCACACAATAATAATGGGAGACTTTAATACCCCACTGTCAACATTAGACAGATCAACGAGACAGAAAGTTAAAATGGATATCCAGGAATTGAACTCAGCTCTGCACCAAGCAGACCTAATAGATATCTACAGAACTGTCCACCCCAAATCAACAGAATATACATTCTTCTCAGCACCACATCACACTTATTCCAAAACTGACCACATAGTTGGAAGTGAAGCACTCCTCAGCAAATGTAAAAGAACAGAAATTATAACAAACTGTCTCTCAGACCACAGTGCAATCAAACTAGAACTCAGGATTAAGAAACTCACTCAAAACTGCTCAACTACATGGAAACTGAACAATCTGCTCCTGAATGACTACTGGGTACATAACAAAATGAAGGCAGAAATAAAGATGTTATTTGAAACCAATGAGAACAAAGACACAACATATCAGAATCTCTGGGACACATTTAAAGCAGTGTGCAGAGGGAAATTTATAGCATTAAATGCCCACAAGAGTAAGCAGGAAAGATCTAAAGTCAACACCCTAACATCACAATTAAAAGAACTAGAGAAGCTCTAGATCCCTGAGGAATCGCCACACTGTCTTCCACAATGGTTGTACTAGTTTACAGTCCCACCAACAGTGTAAAAGCATTCCTATTTCTCCACATCCTCTCCAGCACGTTTCCTGACTTTTTTTTTTCTTTTTTCTTCTTGCTTTTTTATTATACTTTAAATTTTAGGGTATTTGTACACAACGTGCAGGTTTGTTACATATGTATACATGTGCCATGTTGGTGTGTTGCACCCATTAACTCGTCATTTAACATTAGGTATATCTCCTAATACTATCCCTCCCCCCTCCCACCACCCCAAAACAGGCCCGGGTGTGTGATGTTCCCCTTCCTGTGTCCATGTGTTCTCATTGTTCAATTCCCACCTATGAGTGAGAACATGCAGTGTTTGGTTTTTTGTCCTTGCGATAGTTTGCTGAGAATGATGGTTTCCAGGTTCATCCATGTCCCTACAAAGGACAGGAACTCATCATTTTTCATGGCTGCATAGTATTCCATGGTGTATATGTGCCACATTTTCTTAATCCAGTCTATCATTGTTGGACATTTGGGTTGGTTCCAAGTCTTTGCTATTGTGAATAGTGCCGCAATAATCATACGTGTGCATGTGTCTTTATAGCAGCATGATTTATAATCCTTCGGGTATATACACAGTAATGGGATGGCTGGGTCGAATGGTATTTCTCGTTCTAGATCCCTGAGGAATCGCCACACTGACTTCCACAATGATTGAACTAGTTTACAGTGCCACCAACAGTGTAAAAGTGTTCCTATTTTTCCACATCCGCTCCAGCACCTGTTGTTTCCTGACTTTTTAATGATCACCATTCTAACTGGTGTGAGATGGTATCTCATTGTGGTTTTGATTTGCATTTCTCTGATGGCCAGTGATGATGAGCATTTTTTCATGTGTCTGTTGGCTGCATAAATGTCTTCTTTTGAGAAATGTGTGTTCATATCCTTTGCCCACTTTTTGATGGTTTTTTTTTCTCATAAATTTGTTTGAGTTCATTGTAAATTCTGGATATTAGGCCTTTGTCAGATGAGTAGATTGCAAAAATTTTCTCCCATTCTGTAGGTTGCCTGTTCACTCTGATGGTAGTTTCTTTTGCTGTGCAGAAGCTCTTTAGTTTAATTAGATCCCATTTGTCAATTTTGGCTTTTGTTGCCATTGCTTTTGGTGTTTTAGACATGAAGTCCTTGCCCATGCCTATGTCCTGAATAATTAATAGCTTACCAACCAAAAAAAGTCCAGGACCAGATGGATTCACAGCCGAAATCTACCACAGGTACAAGGAGGAGCTGGTACCATTCCTTCTGAAACTATTCCAATCAATAGAAAAAGAGGGAATCCTCCGTAACTCATTTTATGAGGCCAGCATCATCCTGATACCAAAGCCTGGCAGGGACACAACAAAGAAGAATTTTAGACCAATATCCCTGATGAACACCGATGCAAAAATTCTCAATAAAATACTGGCAAACTGAATCCAGCAGCACATCAAAAAGCTTATCCACCATGGTCAAGTGGGCTTCATCCCTGGGATGCAAGGCTGGTTCAACACACGCAAATCGGTAAACGTAATCCAGCATATAAACAGAACCAAAGACGAAAACCACATGATTATCTCAATAGATGCAGAAAAGGCCTTTGACAAAATTCAACAACACTTCAAGCTAAAAGCTCTCAATAAATTAGGTATTGATGGGACATATCTCAAAATAATAAGAGCTATTTATGACAAACCCACAGCCAATATCATACTGAATGGGCAAAAACTAGAAGCATTCCCTTTGAAAACTGGCACAAGACAGGGATGCCCTCTCTCAACACTCCTATTCATCATAGTGTTGGGAGTTCTGGCCAGGGCAATCAGGCAGGAGAAAGAAACAAAGGGTATTCAGTTAGGAAAAGAGGAAGTCAAATTGTCCCTGTCTGCAGATGACATGATTGTATATCTAGAAAACCCCATTGTCTCAGCCCAAAATCTCCTTAAGCTGATAGGCAACTTCAGCAAAGTCTCAGGATACAAAATCAATGTGCAAAAATCACAGGCATTCCTCTACACCAATAACAGACAAACAGAGAGCCAAATCATGAGTGAACTCCCATTCACAATTGCTTCAAAGAGAATAAAATACCTAGGAATCCAACTTACAAGGGATGTGAAGGACCTCTTCAAGGAGAACTACAAACCACTGCTCAACAAAATAAAAGAGGACACAAACAAATGGAAGAACATTCCATGCTCATGGATAGGAAGAATCAATATCATGAAAATGGCCATACTACCCAAGGTAATTTATAGATTCAATGCTATTCCCATGAAGCTACCAATGACTTTCTTCACAGAATTGGAAAAACCTACTTTAAAGTTCATATGGAATCAAAAAAAGAGCCTGCCTTGCCAAGACAATGCTAAGCCAAAAGAGCAAAGCTAGTGGCATCACGCTACCTGACTTCAAACTATACTACAAGGCTACAGTAACCAAAACATCATGGTACTGGTACCAAAACAGAGATATAGACCAATGGAACAGAACAGAGCCCTCAGAAATAATACCACACATCTACAACCATCTGATCTTTGACAAAGCTGACAAAAACAAGAAATGGGGAAAGGATTCCCTATTTAATAAATGATGCTGGGAAAACTGGCTAGCCATAGGTAGAAAGCTGAAACTGGATCCCTTCCTTACACCTTACACAAAAATTAATTCAAGATGGATTAAAGACTTAAATGTTCGACCTAAAACCATAATAACCCTAGAAGAAAACCTAGGCAATAACATTCATGACATAGGCGTGGGCAAGGACTTCATGTCTAAAACACCAAAAGCAATGGCAACAAAAGCCAAAATTGACAAATGGGATCTAATTAAAGTAAAGAGCTTCTTCACAGCAAAAGAAACTACCATCAGAGTGAACAGGCAACCTACAGAATGGGAGAAAATTTTTGCAATCTACTCATCTGACAAAGGCCTAATATCCAGAATCTACAATGAACTCAAACAAATTTACAAGAAAAAAAAAAACCATCAAAAAGTGGGCGAAGGATATGAACACACATTTCTCAAAAGAAGACATCTATGCAGCCAACAGACACATGAAAAAATGCTCATCATCACTGGCCATCAGAGAAATGCAAATCAAAACCACAATGAGATACCATCTCACACCAGTTAGAATGGCAATCATTAAAAAGTCAGGAAACAACAGGTGCTGGAGCGGATGTGGAAAAATAGGAAAACTTTTACACTGTTGGTGGCACTGTAAACTAGTTCAACCACTGTGGAAGTCAGTGTGGCGATTCCTCAGGGATCTAGAACTGGAAATGCCATTTGACCCAGCCATCCCATTACTGTGTATATACCCAAAGGATTATAAATCATGCTGCTATAAAGACACATGCACACATATGATTATTGTGGCACTATTCACAATAGCAAAGACTTGGAACCAGCCCAAATGTCCATCAATGATAGACTGGATTAAGAAAATGTGGCACATATACACCATGGAATACTATACAGCCATAAAAAAGGATGAGTTCATGTCCTTTGTAGGGACATGGATGAAGCTGGAAACCATCATTCTCAGCAAACTGTCGCAAGGACAAAAAACCAAACACTGCGTGTTCTCACTCATAGGTGGGAATTGAACGATGAGAACACTTGGACAGAGGAAGGGGAACATCACACACCAGGGCCTGTCGTAGGGTGGGGGGAAGGGGGGAGAGATAGCATTAGGAGATATACCTAATGTAAATGACAAGTTAATGGGTGCAGCACACCAACATGGCACATATATACATATGTAACAAACCTGCACATTGTGCATATGTACCCTAGAACTTAAAGTATAATAATAATAATAATAATAAAGAACAGTCTCAAGAGATCAAGTTGGAATGAGAATAAAGAGAAAGATTATAGCAATGAAATAATATAGGGATTATCAGCTCCTTCTGCCCACCGCCCAACTCCTTGGAATATACACACACACATGCACTCATACAATAGAGCCACATGAAATAATGTACTGTGTATGTGGCACAAAGTAAGTATTTTATTAATTCCCTGCTTGACTATTTTTCAAGACTAGTTAGATAATGAATATGAAAATAAAATATAAATATGCACAAAATTGAAGAAAGGGCAAAGGGCAGGGAACAAGTGGGGAGAGTAAAAGTTTCATTGGTTCAAGTACAAAGTTAATTTAGAGTAGAATTAAACATTGAGACTAGATAGAATGTTTGGTAGCATATGTAGAAGTTAGGAACAGATGTAAGGCTCTGACTATAACACAGGAGTTTAATTTTATTCTGTAACTTAATAGAAAACTGTTTTAGACATTTGTGTAGGGTACTAATGTTATAATGCATTATAGGAAGATTAATTTGGTAATGTAACCTCAGTCTAGTCTCACAATTATTTATAAAGTACCTACCATTTTTAAGAAGATATGCTAAGTGCTTCCGGTGGTATAATTTGACTTTGTGTTTAAAAGTTTGACCAAGATGGGTTTAATAGTTACTGTGTAACAGGGATAGTGCTAGGTACTCAGAGTCAAACAGGTGGGAATGGGAGAATAAGGAAGACAAGAACACAAATAATAATAAAACATGTTTGATTTAGTTAGGTTCATATAAACCGTGTGTAATCAAATGCTATGGAAATTTAAAAGAGGCAGAAATTGCATTCAATTGGCTATAGAAGACAGCAGCCACTTCATTTTTCAACATAGTTGGTATCAGCACCTTATCACTTGGTAAACAAAGAAACCTCCTAGCCCTCCTGAAGAATATTGTCAGCTTCTGATATCTTGGTCTTTCATAATAAATCCATTTTAGCATACCCACTTCTGTGAGCCTTTATTCTCATCCTTTGTGGTTTACCATGAGAATTTTAGCATCTAATCTAATGAGAGTGCTAGCCATTTTCCAAGCTTCCATCAGTCATCTGAAAAGAGCGTTACAACTGTCTCCCAGAGCCCTTAAAATGATGTTAAATCTTGTGGCAAGGGAGAGTTCTCCCACACTAAAAAAATCTCCCTTCTGCAGCACCCTCAGGATCTATTTGTAGGCACACTCCCATTTTTTCCCCAGTAGTTGTTAACCATAACCTGGCGTGACTTGTGGAATATAATTATTCTCCTCCCTTAGCAACTTTGGTGCTTCCTTCTTGGGACTTGCTTGGATTTGACTCAATTTATTTATTTGGTGGCTAAACGGTTTTCTAGGTGGCTTCATACTTGGACTGACACAATTCTCTCCTGTTTCTTGCTTTTAGTTTTCAAGAATAACTAGACTATCCTGGGAATACCACATCCTGAGACTGGGGAGGGACTAGTCAGAAGAGCCCAGGGCTGTTTTCCACTCTCTTAGAAACAGCATGTCCTTCAATGCATTCACCCAGCATGTCTTGTTTCCCCTGAGGTAAATAACCTGGGTGGGATGCATTTTGGAATTCCTCAGTAGTGGTGCAAGTAGAGTATACAGAGTAGGGATACCCTGGGCAGTTTACCGGAGCCTGGGGGACCAGCTCACAAGAATCTTATGCTTCCATTGTTTCTTGTTGCCTGTCTATAAATAATAAATCCAGTTTATATAACTTACTGCATGAATGGATGTTCTGTGTCACTGATATCAGATAAGTTAGTAACCAGTGCAGTTAGCCAGCTTGATAGTGGCCAACAGAAGAGAGATATGTCGATTGTAAGGGAGAAAAGCATTGTCTGTAAGGTACCTGTCTAGTCTTCAATCAAAACAGGGTCTACTATCATCTAACAAAGAGAGTAGGAAACTTCTGAAAACCCAGGAAATTCAGTGTAATCAGAGCTTTCAGTGTTCTTGAGAGTGCTCATTTAAATCAATTGTAATATCAGGGCCAACATTGGCTGAAAACCTAGCCTCCTGTTAATTCAGCCATTCTTGCAATTATGCATCCCAAATTCAGCTCATCCTGCCATCTGGTTCCAGGAAATAAGAATCTATTCAAATGTTATCAAAGAGTATTATATAGGACAACAGTTCATCTGAGTCAGGTATTTTCTCTATAGAAAGCACTTATGATGCTCAGCAGTAGGCACAGACTTTAACCTCCTCTACTTCTCAAGTGCCTGAGCTATAGCATCAAACTGTGCATCCCCTTCCAGTTCACTAAATGTGAACATTTTAGCAATTGTACTTTGTCATGCCAGGGATCATCAAAATTTTACCTTTCACCAGTAATGGGGTCCTCAGTTATATGGCCAGAGAGTGAGTCAACTCTAGGATCCTGTTCTTAGAGTCTGTTTCTTAGGATCCTTTGTGTTATTAACTGTTTTAGTTCAGAGCCCAAATAAGCAGAGCCTGAGATGAGAATATCATGAGATAGATTTCTGGAATGTTTGCTCTTAATGCAGAATATGTAAAGGAATGAGAGTATGTCAAAGAAAGAAGCTAGGCAAAGAAGTGTGTTTAGCTTAAGTCTAGCCTTAGCCTGACTCCATAAGGAACTCTATGGTACCACAAAATTGTCTCATTTAGAAGAAATGAGGCTGGACTTCTGAACCCCATTTCATTCAGTTATTGGTGAGGGGACAGTCCAAGAACGGAGCATAGCCTTCCAGGCATTTCTGGGCAAAACAACTTTTAACAAGAATGAAACATTAAAAAATGAATTGAGTCTCTTCATTACATATACCAACAGCAACTACTAGAGAAGGCCACTGTAACTTTTACCTCTTAATTTAAAAACCTGTGAATCCTGGCTATTGAGAACACAGTACCACACATTAGCTGGTATTTCAGCATATTTAACATGCCTTTAAGAATAAAATCCTAACTCTGAAACATTGCTGTCCTCAAGCTGACACCCTAAATGAACTTTAACAGACCATTGTGGCATATCATTAGTCCTGTTTCTTAAATATAAGGTATACGATCAAGTACTTGGGCCTATTGAAATATTTTCTTTGCTGTGAAATTGTCCTTTGGGCTGAGGCAACATTGCATGGGATAACATATCAACAGATGAATTATTATAAAAAGCCACATGTTAGTGCTGCTAATGGAAGGAAAACTCATTTTGCAGTAAGTAGCACTTCTGAGTGAGAGTGAATTGCTCCACCCTCCAGGTTGGAAGGGATCTGATGAGTCACATCTTCAAGTAGATAACAGGTCTTCTCAAATTGTGCCATGTCTAGGGCTCAATCTTTGTTTCAACTGCTGGCAGCAGCAATAGCTAGATCAGCCTTGATAAGATGGAACTCAGGCTGTTAAACTAATGTGTAGATTCTCCTCTGCTACAATGACATATATGTTCATTGCCCTATTGAGCCAACACTTGTATGGCCAAGAAGAGAGGCTAACTGGCATCCACAGAACCAATGATTCTATCTATCTAGCTTTGGAGAATTCCCTCTGAAGTGGATGCTCTCTGAGGACATTAATGCTAGACAAGACTATTTGTATGATTTCCGTTCAATTTTATTATTCCAGCCACATAATTCTTACCCACACAACCTTGTCTTTTATCCTCTAAATCAGTTTATGTCTAGCTCCTTACCAACCAGACAAGGTGGTTTTCACTGCTCAGAAGTCCATGCACATTTTTACGTGAGGTATTTCTCTCCATATATGAATTAAATGGATATATTGCTTCATGCTCTGCTTACCATATTTCTTTACACTAATATCATTTTTGCCCAGGTACTAATACAATGGAATGGTACAGTAATGAATGCAGTCTTCTTATAGATAGCACCATCACATTTGTGGACTGAGTTCAAATTGTTTCTTTTTCATTAAGACTGTTGAACAGGTCATTACATGAGACCACGGGTATGAGTTGAGGAAGAGGTTTTGGTGAGACATATAGGTAACATGGCTATTTGGGTCACCTTTTAATTCATGCCTTTTGAACCTGCTCTGTTGGTAATTTAAATGCACCATTCAAATAAAATGGTTTTAGTTGTGCCTGATTTCCTGTTTGGGGAGAACTCATTATAGCCACCTCATGATGGGCAGCTTCAGTCACAGCGTAATTTGTTGTCAGAGTTTCAAACATTGAATAGTGTTCTGTTGCAGAACAGGTGACATTATTCCAGAACCAGGGGGTACTTATACTTGGTCCTTCTTATAATATTTCATCTTGCTTCACAGGTCATGAAACCTAAATAAGGATTTTCCAAGTTACCAAGTATATCTTCACATTATACATCTGGAGAGCAGACAACTCACTGCAGGCTGGGTCTATGAATCCACTGGAAACACTGTGTTATACATTTTGGCCAAAAAAAATCATTTATCATCTGACCTCTATTAGCCCCATTCCAATCAGAAATGATGGAATATTGCATTCCATAGTATTAATCTTGTTTCAGACCTTATATGTCCTGTCTTGAAAAGTCAAAATATTTCCCATTCTCTAGGGCATAGGTGCCATTGAAACTGGCTCAGGTCCCTTTGGGGAAAATAGTAGGCATTTTTTTTAACATGTTACATTAGCAGGACAGTTCCCTTCTCAAGGAATTCTGGGTCAGTGAATAGAGTTAGGTCTTGAAACTCAGTGAAGGAGAACAATTTTTATTGTAGCTTTTGATGATAGTTTTCTGCTTCCCGAAAATAGATTTTATTTTGCAAAATGAGCAACATCTTACATGTCTGTCTTCCTGAGGAACATTAATAGCTCTTCAACATATGCCTGTGTGTTGAGGCATCTTTATTATCACTCCAAACTTGCTGCCTTTTATGTTGATCACATCTACCCTGCATATATGGATTAAGTGTTGACATCTAGCTTCTGGCATTCTGGGATCTCCTCATCTCTGGTTTATATTAAGGAGCCTGGTTCCACAGAAGCATCTCCTACTGTAAACCTTGTCCTGCAAAGGATAGCTACCACCAAACTTCTCAAAGATTCTGTTGTCTTCTTCATCAGTTAATTTCTTATTGACCTAGTGAAAGGTCTTGCTGAGCAACATGTTCAGGTGGTGCATTCTTAGTGCTTACAAAATGAAAATCCATCTTAATAGTCCCACTTTTCTGAGTTTTCTGATCCCTTCTTCAGTACTATATCAAAAACTTTGCCATTTCTTTTGCTGTAAGTAATTTTTATTTTCAGATTTCCAGTAGTGATCCCAGTTGACTTTTAGGTCTGGCTGCAAGTGTTATTGCAAATATATTTAATCCTCTGTAACACATGAGTGCTCCATATGATTAAAATCTCCCCACACCAGCCCTGTATGTCGCAGCCGTTCCTTCAGCTCAGTCCAGCACATCAACATCCACTTTGGCACATGCTTTCTCATTTCCTGCAAATACATATTAATCAGGTTCTGCATCTTGGGCAAAATATATGGGTGTGTGTGTATATATATATATGTTTATATACTTATATATACACAAATATTTAAAATACACATAATTTTTTCTCTGAGAAGTGGCTGATAAAACCTTAATGATTTTGAAACTCAATAAGCACACTTATGCCTAATACTTTTGGTCTATCCAGAATATCTAAATAATTCTTAAAACTCAAGCATAAGACAAACAGCCAATTAAAAATTGAGCAAAATACTTGAGCAGACAGCTAACAAAATAAGATAGACAAATGGCCAGAGAAATATGAAAAGATGTTTAGCATTATTAGACATCAGAGAAATCCAGATTATAAACACAATGAGATACCACTACAGAGCCATGAGAATGGCTAGAATTATAGGAATTGTCATACTAAGTGTTGAATGGAATGTGTTTCAAACTTAATCTCTCATGTAATTTGTCAGCTTCTTATAAAGACATATCATATATGCCATTTATTTGATGTATTACTTCTCAGCTCTGAATGCACCCTTCAATGTCTGCTCTATGATAAACAATTGGATGCTGTTAAACGGTCTTCCTTTAAAGTGTGTACAGTGTCAAGTTTTCTCAGTAGAGAGAGCTGGTAAAACACTGTAAGAACCTAGGTTTCTTGAAATTTCCCACTTGTACCTGAGTAGAAGGTAAAGGTCTGTCTATAGATCACAGGTTGCTTGGGGGCAAAAATGAGGGTAGAACTGACTGCAAAGTGGTGAAAGAAACTATGGGGTAATAAAAACATTCTATATATTGAATCAGGGTAATTACCTAGGTGTACAAAATTGTCAAAGCTCATAAAAGTGTTTACCTAAGTTGTGTGCATTTCATTTTGTGTAAATGATACCTTGAAACAATTTATTTAAAAATAAACATAGGACAAATGAATGGAACTTTAGAGTGTGTTTCAGAAGACCTAGATTTGATTCACAGTTTACTCTCTAACGTTGAAAAAATCATCTGACATAGATACTTTCTGCTTTCCCCCAACACAAGCAAAGCACACTCTATCCAGCTCTGAGGAAAAGAGATTGTGAAAAAGCTTCCATGATGTTGTGTTTCTAGAAGAAAAAAGAAAGTGCAAGGTTGAGGGGGAAAATGAATTGGTCAGTTGCACTAGATTTAAACTAAAGTTTGGCTGCAAAACTAAGATTTAATCAAAACACGAAATGAAAGATGGATAAATTTATGAGTTATAAAAAAAGAAACTAGAAGGAAACAAGTCATTTGTGCACTAATTCAACAGGCATCTGAGTAGATATCTTGTACCAACACTTGTGCTAACATCAGGAGAAACAAAGTTCTCTTTAGTTAAGAAGAGTCCAATAGACAGGCAAGTAAAGCCACATATTTATAATTGGACAATATATTTTACTGATGGAGGTAATCCCAGTGTGCTTGCCAATGTGTACCACTGTGGCAGTAAGACCTGGATACAATAAGGGGTGTACGAGATTGATCAAGTAGAAGAGGTGATAGAGAAAGAGATGCCAAAATTATTTCATAATGTTGAGCAAAAAAGAAATTGCAAAATTAGTGGAAAATAATGAATTTCGCTTTGCCTAGGTCAAAGGTTGGTGATTATAATGCTGCCCTATAAGATTTGATAGTGTAAGATATGGACGTATGTGAAATCTCCAAGAAAAGGATTAGAGAAAGTACAACAGAAATTCAAGTATTAAAAGTCAAAACTAAGGTGTCATTTTTAATGAAGGGTCAATATGAGGAAGAAGTAACTGTGGTAACTATTATGCTACCAGCATTTCATTGAGGGTGTTCAGATATGACCCTGAATCAGAGCTATTTGCTAAGTTGGTTTTCGCAGCAGCCTTTAAGCTACACTGCATTAATATGAAAAGTAATGGCAAGTAATTTAAAGTTTAAAATGATGCAATAAAAGATGCTTCGCATTTCAATAGTTTTAGGACTGTAAAAACAAATTGTAAATATTCGATTTCATTGAATTTTTGCAATCTTTTAAGGTGGACAGGAAAGATATATTTATTATTTTCTGTTCAAGGAAATAAAAACTCTATCAAGTTTAATGATTTGCAGGAGATCTTACAACTAGTAAATGACAGAAATGGGACAAACACCTGAGTCATATTCCTAACTCAATGCAGCTTCTACTGTATACTGCTTAATAGAAAATAATATTTTCCTACTTTGTACACTTAACTAATGCGAATTATGACAATCACCGCTTTCACTCTACAAGATGAAGCACATTAAGAGTGGACTAGGGTAATGGGAGTGAAAATAGGGAAGACTGTGAATTTGAACATATGCAGAGTTTTTTGTTAATATTCCAACATGCCTCTCTCCTGATGATGAATTTCAGATAATAATGATTATCACTACTGGAATTAATTTTCTGTATGACTGTTTTGTAACCATTTAATCTAACTGATTTGCTTTTACTGGCAATTATAGACTCTCACTATTAACTTAATGCATGTTTTTCTATTATCCATATATTTATGTGATATTTAGAAGTTTGGCGCATAAAAACTATAAAAGAAATCTACATAAACCATGTTAAATTATGCTTCCAGTAATCCTGAGAGCTTCAATAATACTAATGCCAACCTCCATATCTAAACAAAATGCTGCTACTTGCAGTACTCAGGATATATGCTTCTTTGAGTAAAAGTGATGGATTGGTCCCGGTCCATGTACTTTCTGTCCCTGGATTTAACTTGTGGCATGATGATGAATATTTACAAGAGGGATGCCTAAGTAAGCAGTTTTATTTTTGGCCCTGGTGAGTCTAAGATAAATCTATGATGTGAGCAGCCTCTATCTATCTTAGGGGAACATCAGAAAATATTATGTGAAAGTGATTTAATCTGTTGGGGAAAAAAAAGTGCTTTTAGACCCACATAACAATATAATGATGTTGTATAGTGTTTGACACATCTTGCCTCACTATAGGGAATAAGATTAATCTATATCATGGCTAAATATAAATAAATTGGCATGCCTTGTGTATGTTTAAGGTCATGAGCAATCTAATTTTCCTGGAGCTAGTAGTAATTAATATATTATCCATGAGACTGTCCTTGGAAAGAAGTAGAGAGTAAACATAACCCTTAATTTAGAGACCGATTCTACAGTAACTCAGACTGGAGTTCAATGTTAATTTTTTGAATATTTTTTATGATTAAAGTTTTTTCAATAAATTATTCTCAACCTAAAAAGTTTCCTCACATTTTTGCTTCTATTATGGTTCTTACCACAGTCTTCCCTGTATTGTCATCATTTTGTCATTTTCTTAACTCTCTACTTGAGAATAATCTTTCAAAATTCAAACTGAGCCTTATTCTTTGTTGCGTTTCTCATGATACCTGTCAGAGGAACCTGACAACAATGAATATTGAATAAATAAATGCTTTTTGAATGAAAAGTGTATGAAAGAACATACATCTATTACTAAAAGATATAGAAACTTGATCTATAAGAGGACATAATGCTTCATCTTATTCTCAGTATATTTGTGCTTGGAAGGCTATACAGAGAAAATGTATTTATTTAAATATGAGCAATATTACTTATCAAGCCCCTACTGTGTGCCAGACACTGTTCTTGACATTGAATAAGTAGCAGGAAATTAAACAGATAAATCTAAAGCCTAATGAAGGTTGCATTCTAGTGGATAGCAGTAGACAAGAAGCAAACACACACATAAACTATAGAAAATGTGAGATGGGGATAACAGCTATCAAGGAAAATTAAGTAGAAAAAGTAGATAGGAAGTGACAGGTTGAGAACATTATGATTTATACTGTGAAGGTAAGGAAGGGCCTCATTGAAAGAGCAGGTATTTGGAAAAAGACTTAATGGAGGTCAAGGAGTAAGTCCCATAGATGCTTGACAGAAGGGCAATCTCAGCAGGGTGTTCTTTTCTAGCACCATTCCTCCAGAAAGCATGGAAAAACAAGAGGGCTCCTTTTCCTGTAATTAATAAAAGCATATATGAAAGTAGAAGAAGATGACATCTGAGAAACAGTGGGGAGATAGATACATAGATGTGTGTACATCATCATGTCGGTATGGGCCTTTATAGAAAGCAAGAGAAAGCCATTTGGAGGCTCGTTTTAGTAATCACTCTGGCAACAATATTGAAATTAAACTACAGATTAAAAAGGGATTGCCATGAAGATCAGTGTAGAAGACTTTTGCAAAAATCCAGTAAATCTGATAATAGGGGAAAAATTGTTTCAATGTTGGTTAAGAACATTGTGATTTTAGAAATATTTTGAGGGTAGAGCCAACAGGATTTATTGACAGGTTGCATGTGGGATGTGAGAAAAGGAAAAAGTTCATAGATGACTACAAATTTTTTGGATTGAGGAACTAAAAGAATAAAGATACCATTAATGGACACAGGGAAGACCGTGTATGGGAGGAGGTTAAATATTTTAAAAATTGGTGATTTTTATGATGAGTACTACACCCAGTTGGAGATACTAATTTGAAGAGCAGGAGTGGCATTCTGCCAGAAAATAGGGATTTAGAAGTCATTAACATTTAGATGCTTCCCACAGCCATGCTCCTGAAAGGGATCATCAAGAGAGTGAATGAAAATGAAGGAGAGGAGGGCAGGGAATGGGAGGATAGAAGAGAGGAGAGAAAAAGGAAGAGAAGGGAAGAAAAATTAAGAATAGATTATTGAAATGTTCCAGTATTAAGAAAAGAGAGACCAGAAAAGGAGGATATATCTGTATTATTTTCTATTGTGCTGTAACAAAATACTACAAACTTAGTGGCTTAATATAGCACTGTCTTTCTTAGAATTCTGAAAGCCAGAAATTGAAAATGGCCTTCACTGGACCAAAACCAAGAGGATTGCACTTCTGGAGCATCTATATGGAATGTGTTTCCTTGCCTTTTCCAGCTTCTAGAGGCCACCTCCATTTTTTGGTATGTGGCCCCTTTCTCCTATTTTTTTTTTCTTTTATTTTAAGTTCACGGTTACATGTGCAGGTTTGTTACATAGATAAACTTGTGTCATGGAGGATTGTTGTATAGATTATTTCATCATCCAGGTATTAAGCCTAGTACCTGTTAGTTATTTTTCCTGATCTCTCTCCTCTCACCCTTCTACCCTCCACCATCCAATATGCCCCAGTATATGTTGTTCCCCTCTGTGTATCCATGTGTTCTTATTATTTAGCTCCCACTTATAAGTGAAAACGCGTATTTAGTTTTCTGTTCCTTCATTAGTTTGCTAAGGATAATGGCCTCCAGCTCCATCCATGTCCCTACAAAGGGCATGATCTTGTTCTTTTTTATGGTTGCAAATATTCCGTGATGTATATGTACCACATTTTCTTTATCCAGTTTATTATTGATGAGCATTTAGGTTGATTCCATGTCTTTGCTATTGTGAACAGTACTGCAGTGAACATATGTGTGCATGTGTCCTTATAACAGAATGATTTTTACACCTTTGGGTATATACCCAGGAATGGGATTGCTGGGTCAAATAGTATTTCTGTCTTTAGCTCTTTGAGGAATTGCCATACTGTCTTCCACAATGAGTGAACTAATCTACACTCCAAACAACAGTGTATAAGTGACCCTTTCTCTCTACAACCTCGCCAGCATTGTTTTTTATTTTTTTAACTTTCTAATAGTAGCCATTCTGACTGATGTGAGATGGTATCCCATTGTAGTTTTGATTTGCAATTCTCTAATATTCAGTGATATTGAGCTTTTTTCATATGATTGATGTCTCCATCAATTTTCCCCATTGGAAATTGTTCATGTCCATTGCCCACTTTTTAATTGGGTTGTTTGTTTTTTCTTTTTCTCAGAAACTTAAGTTCCTTATAGATGCTGGATATTAGATGTTTGTCAGATGTATAGTTTGCAAAAATTTTCTCCCATTTAGTAGTTTGTCTGTTTACTCCATGTATAGTTTTTTTTTCTTGCTGTGTGCAAAAGCTCTTTAGTTTAATTAGATCCCATTTGTCATTTTTTACTTTTGTTGCAATTCCTTTTGGTGTCTTCATCATGAAATCTTTGCCTGCGCCTATGTCCTGAATGGTACTATGTAGATTGTTTTCCAGGATTTTTATAGTTTTGGTTTTACATTTGAGTCTTTAATTCATCTTGATTTGATCTTTGTTTCTGGTGTAAAGAAGGGGTAAAATTTCAGTTTTGTACATATGGCCAGTCAGTTATTGCAGTATCATTGATTGAAAAGGGAATTGTTTCCCCATTGCTTGTTTTGGTCAGGTTTGTCAAAGATCAGTGTGTAGTCTTATTTCTGGGTTCCTCATTCTGTTTCATTGGTCTAATGTGTCTGCGTTTGTACAAGTACCATGCTGTTTTGGTTACTGTAGCCCTGTAATATAGTTTGAAGGTGGGTAGCATGATGCCTCCAGCTTTGTTCTTTTTCCTTAGTATTGCCTTGGGTATTTGGGCTCTTTTTTGGTTACATATGAATTTTAAAATAGTATCTTCTAGTTCTGTGAAGAATTTCAATGGAAGTTTAAGAGTAATAGCATTAATCTGTAAACTGTTCTGGGCAGTTGGCCATTTTAACAATATTGATTATATGAGCATGGAATGTTTTTCTATTTGTTTGTGTCATCTTTGATTTCTTTGACCAGTAGCTTGTAGTTCTCCTTGTAGAAATCTTTCACCTTCCTAGTTAGCTCTAATCCTAGGTTTTTATTCTTTTTGTGGCAGTTGTGAATGGGAGTTCATTTCTGATGTGGCTCTTGGCTGGACTTTTATTGGTGTATAGCAATGTAAGTGATTTTGGCAAATTGATTTTGTATCCTGACACTTTCCTGAAGGTGCTCATCAGCTTAAAAAACTTTTGGGCTGAGACTATGGGGTTTTGTAGATATAGGATTATGTTGTCTGCAAAAAGGGGTAGTTTTACTTCTATTCATACTATTTGGATGTGCTTTATTTCTTTCTCATGACTGATTGTCCTGGCCAGGACTTCCAATACTATGTTGAATAGGAGTAGGGAGAGAAGACATCCTTGTGTTGTGCCAGTTTTCAATGGAAATGCTTTCAGCTTTTGCCCATTCAGTATGATGTTGGCTGTGGATTTGTCATATATGGCTCTTATCATTTGGAGGTATGTTTCTTCAATACCTAGCTTACTGAGAGTTTTTAACATGAATGTTGAATTTTATCAAAAGATGTTTCTGCATCTGTTGAGATAATCATGTGGTATTTGTCTTTATTTCTGTTTATATGATGAGTCACATTTATTGATATGCATATGTTGAACCAAACTTGCATGACAGGGATTAAGCCTATTTAATTGTAGTGGATACGTTTTCTGTTGCGCTGTTGGATTCAGTTTGCCAGTATTGTGTTGAGGATTTTTGCATGGATTTTCATGAAGGATATTGGCCTGAAGTTTTCTTCTTTGTTGTCTCTCTGTTGGTTTTTGGTATCAGGATTATGTTGGCCTCTAGAATGAATTAGTAAGAAGTGTGTCCTTTTCAATTTTTTTGGAATAGTTTCAGTAGAAATGCTACCAGCTCTTCTTCATATATTGGGTAGAATTCAGCTGTGATTCCATCTGGTCCTTGTCTTTTTTTAATTGGTAGGCTACTTAATACTGCCTCAATTTCAGAGCTCATTATTGGTCTGTTTAGGGATTCAATTTCTTCCTGGTTCAGTCTTGGGAAGGTGTATGTGCCCAGGAATGTATCCATTTCTTCTAGATTTTCCAATTTATTTGCATAGAAGTGTTTATAGTATTCTCGGATGGTTTGTATTTCTGTGGGGTCAGTGGTAATATCCCCCTTGTCATTTCTGACAGCGTTTATTCGAATCTTCTTTCTTTTCTTATTAGTATAGCTAGTGGTTTATCTATTTTATTAATTTTTTCAGAAACCAGATCCTGGATTTGTTGATCTGTTGAATGGTTTTTCATGTCTGTATCTCCTTAAGTTTGGCTCTAATTTTTGGTTAATTCTTATTATGATGGTTAATACTGAGTGTCAACTTGGATTGAAAGACACAAAGTATTAATCCTGGATGTGTCTATGAGGATGTTGCCAAAAGAGATTAACATTTGAGTCAGTGGGCTGGGGAAGGCAGATCCACTCTTAATATGGTGGACACAATCTAATCAGCTACCAGCAAATATAAAGCAGGCAGAAAAACACGAGAAAGAGAGACTGGCCTAGCCTCCCAGACTACATCTTTCTCCCATGCTGGATGCTTCCTGCCCTCCAACAACGGACTCCAAGTTCTTCAGTTTGGGGACTTGGACTGGCTCTCCTTGATCCTTGATCCTCAGCATGCAGACGGCCTATTGTGGGGCCTTGTGATCATGTAAGTTAAAATTTATATATATAATATGTAATTTTTATCTATATATATATCTCCTATTGTGTTCCTTTAGAGAACCCTGACTAATACAGATTTTGGTACCAGGAGTGGTTCTAGAGGGACAGAATATTAAGGATGGAGTTCTTTCATTGGTTTTGGGGTTTCTGGAGTTGGCTGCTTAATATGATTAGACCCAAAAATGCTAAGGACTGTACTTCTGATAATATGGAAAACACAGATAGTACTTGGCATGAACTGTTTAGAGAGTTTGGCAAAATAAATGCATTTGACACTCTTGATTCACCACTTGTAGGAGGCAAGGAGTTGAATGACTACACATAATACCTTTGACCATATGTGGAGAACCAAGGAACATAATGAACCTGGTTGGTTGCTTCTAAGTTCAGTGGACAAAGTGATGAAAGAAAACGATGAACTCAGCAATTCTGTCTCTTGCTTCAGAAGCAGATACTGAGCCTTAAATCTGCAAAGATTGTCCTGAGACTCTTATCTCCTATAGAGAAAGAGCAGTATGATACATTCGAAAAGAACTGAGTTCTCTAATTTATATGAACAACAATCTGGAGAACAGGCATAGGAATGGATATTAAGGGTATGGGATAATGGTGGAAGGAACATAGAGTTAGATCAGGCTGAATTTATTGATTTTGGCCCACTGAGTAGGGACTCTGCATTTAATGTTGCAGATCAAGGAGTAAAAAATGGTTCTTATAGTTTATTTGCTTGATTAGCTGAAATATGGATTAAAAGATGGCCCACTGTGAGTGGGCTGGAAATGCCTGGTCTCTCTTGGTTTAATGTAGAGGAAGGGATCCAAGGGCTTAGGGAGATTGGGATGGTGGACTGGATTTGTCACTTTAGATCAGCTTGGAGGGTACAGAAGATACACCCTTGACCAATGCCTTGTGAAACAGATTTGTGAGGGCAGCACCTGCATCTTTGAAGAGCCCTGTAATTGCTCTTCTCTGTATGTCAGATCTAATGGTGGGAACAGCAGTCACTAAACTAGAAAATTTAAATACAATGGGAATAATTGGATTCTGAGGTGGCAGAGGCCAAGTGGCAGCACTCAACCACCAAAGGCAAGGTGGGTGTAGCTACGTGATGGACAGCAGAGGCAAAGTGGAAATCAGAATAGTCTGACTCATGTAGAGCTCTGGCATTGGCTAATCATGGTGTTTCTAGAAATAAAACTGAAAGGAAGCCTACTTCATTCCTACTTAATTTATACAAGCAGAAGACTCCTAGGCTGAATGGACAAAAGACAAATTTGAATTATAAAAACAGAATCACGGCTCCTCAGTAGATTTCCAGACTTGAGCCAGTTTACAGATCCAGAACTGCTTGAATGAAGGGGAGTCTGGGTCCCCTTGACAAAGGACCCCACTACATTACTGACAATTTATGCAGTGAATATTTCTCTCATCCTTCCCCAAGGAGACCATCAGCCTTTTGCCAGGGTAACTGCACTGGGGAAAGGGAAATGATCAGACATTTCAGGGACTACTGGACACTGGCACTGAGCTGACATTGATTCCAGCAGGCCCAAAACCTCATTGTGGTCCTCCAGTTAAAGTAGGGACTTACGGAGGTCCAGTAATTAATGGAGTTTTAGCTCATGTCCCACTTACAGTGGGTCCACTGGGTCTCTGGACTCCTCCTGTGGTCATTTCCCCAATGCCAGAATGCAGGGGTGGTGATTTCCTCTACATCCCCGTTCAACTCTCCGATTTGGCCTGTGCAGGAGACAGACAGATTATGGAGTATGACAGTGGATTATAGTAGGCTTAGCCAAATGGTGACTCTGATTGCAGCTGCTGTACCAGCTGTGGTTTCATTGCTTGAGCAAATTAACACATCTCCTGGTACCTGGTATGCAGCCACTGACTTGGCAAATGCTTTTTTTCCATTCCTGTCGATAAGGTCCACCAGAAGAAATTGGCCTTCAGCTGGCAAGACCAGCAATATACCTTTACTGTCCTACCTCAGGGGTGTATCAACTCTCCAGCTTTGTGTCATAATCTTGTTCAAAGAGAACTTGATTGCTTTTCACTTCTGTGAGATACCACACTCATCCATTACATTGATTGCCTTATCCTGATTGGATCCAGTGAGCAAGAAGTAGCAAACACACTGGACTTATTGGGGAGACATTTCTGTGTCAGAGGATGGGAAATAAATCTGACTGAAATTCAGAGACCTCATTAAAATTTCTTAAGGGTCCAGTGCTGTGGGGCCTGTCGAGATATTCCTTCTAAGGTAAAGGATAAGTTGCTGCATTTGGCCCCTCCTACAACCAAGAAAGGGGCACAACACATATTGCGCCTATTTGAATTTTGGAGGCAACACATTTCTCATTTGGGTATGTTACTCTGGCTTATTTATTGAGTGACCTGAAAGGCTTCCAGTTTTTAGTAGGGTCCAGAACAGAAGGCTGTACATCAGGTCCAGGCCACTGTGCAAGCTGCTCTGCCACTTGGACCATATGACCCAGAATATCCAACGGTGCTTGAGGTGTCAGTGGCAGATATGGAAGCTGTTTGGAGTCTTTTGCAGGCCCCCATAGGTAAATCACAGTGGAGTCCTCTCTAGGATTTTGGAGTAAGGCTCTGCCATCTTCTGCAGATAAGTACTCTCCTTTTGAGAGACACCTCTTGGCCTGTTGCTAGGCTTTGGTGGAAACTGAACATGTGAAAATGGATCATCAAGTCACCATGTTACTTGAACTGCCTATCATGAACTGGGTGCTTTCTGACCCATCTAACCTAAAGTGGGTCATGCACAGCAGCATTCCATCATCGAATGGAAGTAGTGTACATGATCAGGCTTGAGCAGGTCCTAAAAGCACAAATAAGTTACATGAGGAAGTGGCTCAAGTGCCCATTGTCTCCACTCCTGCCGCCCTGCCTTCTCTCCCCCAGCCCGCACTGATGGCCTCATGGGGAGTTTCCTATGATTAGTTGATAGAGGAAGAGAAGACTAGGGCCTGGTTCACAGATGGTTTGGCATGATACGCAGGCACCACCCAAAAGTGGACAGCTGCATCACTACAGTCCCTTTCTAGGACATCCCTAAAAGACAGTTGTGAAGGAAAATCTTTCCAGTGGGCAGAACTTCGAGCAGTGCACCTGGTTGTGCACTTTGCATGGAAGGAGACATGGTCAGATGTGTGATTATATACTGATTCATGGGCTGTAGCCAATGGTTTAGCTGGATGGTCAGGGACTTGGAAGAAACATAATTGGAAAATTGGTGACAAATTTGGGGAAGAGGTATGTGGATGAACCTCTCTGAGTGGTCAAAAACTGAAGATATTTGTATGTCATGTGAGTGCTCACTAATGGGTGACCTCAGCAGATGAGGATTTTAATGATCAAGTGGATAGGATGGCCGGTTTTGTGGACACCACTCAGCCTCTTTTCCCAGCCACCCTGTCATCATCCAATATGCCCATGAACAAAGCGGCCATGTTGGCCAGGATGGAGGTTACACATGGGCTCAGCAACATGAACTTCCACTTACCAAGGCTCACCTGGCTACAGCCACTGCTGAGTGCCCAATTTGCCAGCAGCAGAGACCAACACTAAGCCCTCAATATGGCACCATTCCTCAGGGTGATCAGCCAGCTGCCTGGTGGCAGGTTGATTATATTGGACCTCTTCCATCATGGAAAGGACAGAGATTTGTCTTCACTGAAATAAACATTTACTCTGGATATGGGTTTGCCTATCCTGCATGCAATGCTTTTGCCAAGACTACCATCCGTGGACTCATGGAATGCCTTGTCCACCATCATGGTATTTCACACAGCATTGCCTCTGACCAAGGCACTCACTTTACAGCTGAAGAAGTGTGGCAGTAGGCTTGTGCTCATGGAATTCACTGGTCTTACCATGTTCCCCATCATCCTGAAACAGCTGTATGATAGAACGGTGGAATGGCCTTTTGAGGCCACAATTACAATGCCAACTAGGTGACAATACTTTGCAGGGCTGGGGCAAAGTTCTCCAGAAGGCTTTGTATGCTCTGAATCACTGTCCAATATATGTTACTGTTTCTTCTATAGCCAGGATTCACGGGTCCAGGAATCAAGGGGTGGAAGTGGAAGTAGCACCACTCACCATCACCCCTAGTGATGCACAAGCAAAATTTTTGCTTCCTGTTCCCATGACATTATGTTCTGCTGGCCTAGAGTTCCTAGTTCCAGAGGGAGGAATGCTGCCACCAGGAGACACGACAAAGATTTTATTAAACTGGAAGTTATGATTGCCACCTCGGCACTTTGGGTTCCTCCTATGTTTAAGCCAACAGGCCAAGAAGGGAGTTAGAGTGTTGGCTGGGATGATTGACCTGGACTATCATGATGAATTCAGTCCACAACTCCACAACGGAGGTAAGGAGGAATATTATGGAATATAGGAGATCCATTAGGGCATTTCTTACTATTAGGCATCTCTTACTATTAGGGCATGCTCTGTGATTAAGCTCAATGGGAAACTACAACAGTCCAGTCCAGGCAGGACTACAAATGGCCAAGACCCCTCAGAAATGAAGATTTGGGTCACTCCTCCAGGAAAATACCATGACCTACTGGGGTGCTTGCTGAAGGCAAAGGAAATACAGAATGGGTAGTAAAAGAAGGTAGTCATCAATACCGGCACAACCACATGACCAGCTGCAGAAATGGGGACTGTAATTGTCATGAGTATTTCCTCCTCCTTTTGCTAAAAACATGTTTGTGCCTGTATATACTTGTACACACACAAAAAAAAAACCTTTATTTCCTCTTCCTTTACTATGTGACATAAGATTTATTGACTTCATATCAGCATTTAAGTATTGTTAACTTTATGTGACAGTATTTGGGTTTAGGATTGGTGCGTTTCCAGTTGTAGGAGGGATAGATGTATTATGTTAGGAGTAATTATGACCTTATTATTGTCTTTATTTGAAGATTATATATGATCTCAGGAGATGTGTATGGGTTCAAGCTGACAAGGGGTGGACTTGTGATGGTTAATACTGAGTGTCAACTTGATAGGATTGAAAGATACAAAGTATTGATCCTAGATATGTCTATAAGGGTGTTGCCAAAAGAGATTAACATCTGAGTTGGTGGGCTGGGGAAGGCAGATCCACCATTAGTATGGTGGACACAATCTAATCAGTTGCCAGCAAATATAAAGCAGGCCGAAAAACGTGAGAAAAAGAGACTGGCCTAGCCTCCCAGCCTACATCTTTCTTCCGTGCTGGATGCTTCCTGCCCTCCAACACTGGACTCCAAGTTCTTCAGTTTTGGTACTCGGAATGGCTGTCTTTGATCCTCAGCTTGCAGACAGCCTATTGTGGGACCTTGTGATTGTGTAACTTAATACTTAAAAATCTCACATATATGTATATATGTATATATATGAGATACATATATGTATATATGTGTGTATATGTATGTGTATGTATATCTCCTATTAGCTCCTTTTCTCTAGAGAACCCTGACTAATTAATACACTTCTAGATTCGGGATTTTTATGCTCTTGGTTCTCTAGTTGTTTTAGTTGTAATGTTAGGTTGTAAATTTGATCTAACTTTTTGATATGGGCATTTAGTGCTATACATTTCCCTTTTAACACTGCCTTAGCTGTGTCCCAGAGATGCTGGTATGTTGCATCTTTGTTCTCATTAGTTTCAAGAAACTTATCGATTTCTTCCTTAATTTCATTATTCACCCAAAAGTCATTCGGGAGCAGGTTATTCAATTTCCATGTAATTGTATGGTCTTGAGTGAATTTCTTGGTCTTGGTTTCTAATTTTATTGCACTGTGGTGCAAGAGATTTTTTTTTATGATTTCAGTTCTTTTGCATTTGTGAAGGACTGTTTTATTTCCAATTATGTGATCAATTTTAGATGTGATCTAAAATTAAGAATGAGAAGGATGTATATTCTCTTTTTGTGTGTGTGTATGTATGGAAAGTTCTGTATCTATCAGGTTCATTTGATCCAGTGCTGAGTTCAGGTCCTGACTATCTTTGTTAATTTTCTGTCTCACTGATCTGTCTAATATTGTCAGTGGGATGATGAAGTCTCCCATTGTGATTGTGTGGGAGCCTAGGTCTCTTTGAGAGTCTAAAAATTTGCTTTATGAATCTGGGTGCTCATGTGTTGCATATGTATATATTTAGGATAGTTAGATCTTCTTGTTTATTTGAACCCTTTACCATTATATAATACCCTTCTTTGTATTTTTTAATATTTCTTGCTTTAAATCTGTTTTGTCAGACACTAGGATTACAACCCCTGCTTTTTTGTGTTTTCCATTTGTTTGGTAGACTTTTCTCCATTCCTTTATTTTGAACCTCTGTTTGTAATTGCATGTGAAATGGGTCTCTTGAAGACAACACACCAATGGGTCTTGATTCTTTATCCATTTTGCCACTCTGTGTCTTTTAATTGGGACATTTAGCCCATTTACATTCAAGGTTAGTATTGATAAATAGGGATTTGTTCCTGTCATCATGATGTTAGCTGGTTATTTTGCAGACTCGGTTATGTGGTTACTTTATAGTGTCACTGGTCTGTGTACTTCAGTGTGCTTTTGTAGTGGCTGGTAATGGTCTTTCCTTTCCACGTTTAGTGTTTCTTTCAGGAACTCTTGTAAGGCAGATCTGGTGATAACAAATTCTCTCAGAATTTGCCTGTATGATCTTATTTCTCCGTCACTTTTGAAGCTTAGTTTGGCTGGATATAAATTCTGGGTTGGAATTTATTTTCTTCAAGGATGTTGAATATTGACCCCCAATCTCCTCTGATTTTTAGGGTTTAAGCTGAGAGGTCCACTGTTAGTCTGATGGGCTTTCCTTTTAGGTGACCTGGCCTTTCTCTCTAGCTGCCCTTAACATTTCTTTTTTTTTCATTTTGACCTTAGAGAATTTGATGATTATGTGTTTTGGGGATGAACTTCTTGTGGAGTATCTTGCCAGGGTTTTCATTTCTTGAATTTGAATGTTGGCCTCCCTAGCTAGGTTGGGAACGTTCTCATGGATGATATCCTGAACTATGTTTTCCAGGTTGGTTCCATTCTCCCCATCTCTTTCAGGTACACCAATCAGTCATAGATTTGGTTTCTTTATATAACCCCATATGTCTGAGAGGGCTTGCTCATTACTTTTCATTCTTTTTTCTCTATTCTTGTCTGCCTGTCTTATTTCAGAAGGCCAGTCTTCAAGTTCCAAGATTTTTTCCTTTGCTTGGTCTATTCTGCTGCTCATACTTTTGATTGCACTATGAAATTTTTGCAGTGTGTTATTCAGCTGTGTCAGGGTGGTTACGTTCTTCTCTGTACTGGTTATTTTGTCTGTCATCTCCCGCAATGTTTTATGATGATTTTTAGCTTCCTTGCATTGAGTTACAATGTACTCCTGTAGCTCAATGAACTTTGCTCCTATTCATATTCTGAATTCTACTTCTTTTATTTCAGCCATCTCAGCATTGGCCTGGAGATGTGATGCAGTAATTTGGAGGAAAGAAGGCATTCTGGGTTTTTGAGTTTTCAACATTCTTGCCTTGATTCTTTCTCATCTCTGTGAGCTCATCTATCTTCGGTCTTTGAGGTTGTTGACATTTGGATGGGTTCTTTTTTCTTTTATCCTATTTGATGACCTTGCGGGTTTGATTATGGTATAAGATAGATTCAGCTGACTGGCTTTGTTTCTGGGAGATTTTAGAGGACCAACAATCAGGTCCCAACTTGTGGACTTGTGATCTAACTCTGAAGGATTTGTATTGGACCCCAAATTTGTTCTCTGGCTCCTCAAGGCTTGGAGTCCACTGTGCTGGTGGGGGGTAAGGTACAGCAGCTGCAGCAGAGTGCTAGTGGATGCAAGGGTGCCTGATTGCCTGGGGGCATTTACTACAGTGGCAGGGGCAAAGTAGCCAATGGGGTGCAGGGACAGGGGAAAAAACGGGGGCCCCTACTGGAGACTGTGTGAACTGTTTCACTGGAGCTGGTGTTGGCTTGGAGCAGGGTGCTGGCTGGTGCTGGTCTCAGTGCCTTCTCTGTGTCTCACAAGCAGGAGTGATTGCTCGGGTTGTGGGAGGATCCCCTGTTCTCTGTGCATAGTTAGTGCAAGATAGGGTACTGATAGAGGTGGGGCTTTCTGGCTCTGTGCCCACCAGCCCCATCTGATGTGAGAGACTGCCCTGCAAAGTTCGGTCTGACAGTTCCCCTAGGGCTAAAGTCTCTTATGGCAGCAAGTGAAACCTAAAGGAATGGCCATTCCTGGCCATGTTCTGCTACAGACACTCCCATACCAAACCTTCTGGGCTCCACCCATTCAAAATGGGTGGTGGCTTGCTGCCCCACTACTTTGCTTGTCTCCTGGGGGCTCCACCCCAGAGAGATGTGGGTCATCAATCATTCAGTGAAATCAGACCAGGATGAAGGATATGTGCTGTGCCCAAGTCAGGGGCTTCCTGTCTGGTGACCAGCAGTTGGAGTTGTGTGGGACCTATGAGAAGTGGACTGGCCACATCTTCTTGGGTCACCTGCAGCTTGTTGGAGGTGTGGATAAGACACTTGGGATCATTGCTCCTTTGTTACCAATAACAGTTACAGTGTAGAGGCAGTAGCAGAAAGGTTTTCAGTTGCCCCTGGAGGCTCTGTCCAGGGAGTTGCCAAGTTGCTACTGACATCATAGCTCTGGCGGTGGGTGGCTAGAGGCCCAGGCCTGGAAGACCTGCCTGGTGAGGAGATATTGGAACAGGCACCCAAATAACATTCTGGCTGCTTTTGCATAGGGCTGCTGTGGTATGCTTGGGGTCTGCTTGCCCCCAGTTCTAGTTGCCGTGGATTCCAGTACCTGGAGGTATCACCAGTGAAGTCTGCAAAATAGCAAAGATGGCAGCCTGCCCCTTCCTCTGGGAGCTCCATCCCAGGGAGGTTTGAAAGCTCTGTTGGCAGGAGAACAGTGGCAGGGATGGCTGAAGACCCTGGTTGGAAGATCCTGCCCATGGAGGAGGAATGAGATCAGAGACCCACTTAAAGAAGCAGTCTGGCCATGTTTTCATAGAGTAGCTGTGTAGTGCTAGGTGATCCCTTTCACCCTTGGTTGGCTTGGACTCTCCAAAACCCGAAGGCTGGAACGGCTAAGTCGCTGAAACAGCAAATATGGTGGCCCACCCCTCCCACTGGGAGCTCTGTCTCAGGGAGGTATAATGATGCTACCGGTGGCTGGCTAGAATTCAGAGCCAGTGGGTCTTATCCTGTGAGGTGCTCTGGAAGTGGAGCCTGCAGGCTATTGCTGCTCAACCCCCTAGATTCAGCCTCTTTTCTAGGGGATGTGTACAGGGGGTCTAACTTCCTCCCATTTTGCTGTAGTTGCAGTTGTTTTTTCTGGGAAGCCTGGAAAGCCTGAGTGGCTGCCCTGCTGAGACCTCACTGTGTGTCAGACTGAAGGCCCTTGGGTGGAATGGGTTTATGAGGTGATCTCCTGACCTGAGGGTTACAAAGATTCATGGGAGAAGCATGGGTTCCTAGGGTTACACATTCACTCATTGCTTTCCTAGGTGGGGGAGGTTCCCTTGGCTCTGTGTTGCTCCTGGGTGGGCCATTGTCCTGCCCTGCTTTTCTTCATTTCCCATGGGTTGAGTTGTTTCCTTGGTTACTCCCAGTGCATGTACCTGGATGTTGTAGTTGAAAGTGTTGTATTTACCTCCTCCTTCCGTTCCTCTCCATGAAAGCCACACACATACTAGCTGCTTCTAGTTGGCCATCTTGGTCACTCCCCAACCCCTTCTTCCTTATTGAAAGCCAGAAATCCCATCCCTCTGACCACTGTTTTTGCCATGTCATCTTCTTCTCTGATTCTGACTCTCATCTTCCTCTTATAAAGAAACTTGTGATTTCACTGGGCCTACATGGCTAATATAGGATAATATCCCCATCCCAAGATCCTTAACTGAATCACATCTGCAAAGTCCTTTTGCCCTGCAAGGCAAATATGTTCACAAGTTCTAGGAATTAGACCATGTGCAACTTTAGGGGATAATTATTCTGCTTATCATGATGATAAATCAACTGGAGGGTTTAGAATTAATACCAAGACACTGTGTGGTCTTGAAAGCCAAATTAAGAACATGCTTTAAAAAGGAGAGATGTAGAGCCATGTCAAATGCCTACTGATAGGTTAGGCAAGATGCAAGCTGAAAAATGAGATAACTATTAGAATTCATTGAACAATTGGAATAGAAGTTTGGGGGCAAAAGTTTAGAAGCTAGATTTAAGTATAGAGGAAGAAATTTAAAGTGGAAAATAAAAATGAGTAACAGATAAGAGAATGGCAGTCATTTAACATTTAACTATTAACAGGATAAATAACAAGTATAAACTACATGTATATACATCAGTATAACAATATATGGTGATATTAAGGATTTAGATAAGCTTGCATGAAGCAGAAGAGGGAGTATAATAAACTGCTGCAGTCAAAGTTATTGAGTGGACAAATGGCAATAAGATTTAGTACCGAGTAGAAAGACCTTGCATATGAACAAAGCATGCCAGTAATAATGAGAGGGGAAAAAAGGTAGGTAGATATGTAAATGTGGGGTAGACATTTTTAATGTTTGCATTATTCTCAATGAGATGAGAAGTAATGTTAGAATGAAAATGAACCAGAAGGCATTAGGATTTACAGGAAAAATGAGAAGGTATGAAATAATTATCCAGGAGACTGAGCAACTGGCCTGGTAAAAAGATTACAGGATTCTGTGCAGCTCTACAGGCACACTTGATGTTTGATGTCATAAATTTTTCATGATACAATGCATGGAATGTGTGTACATTTCCAGCCCTATTCAATTACACAAGTACAAATCAGAATAGGCAAGAGATTAAATTTTAAAAGTTCCAAGTTAAAGACATTAAATGAAAATGGGAAAAAGAAACTTAAGATGAAAGAGATTTCTTTGATTGGATGATGAGACTTATCTAGGTTAAGGAGAAAAGAGAAGACATTATGGGATTGAGAGTTAATGAAAATTTGATCATGTACATGGTTTGCTGACGCTGCTGGTGTTCTAGAGGGCATGACATGGATATATAAGACACATCAGAGAGTGAGATTCTTGAAATTGAGATTATGATGAGGTTGCAGTTGTTGGTAATAACTGGATCTAGCGTGTGTGTTGGGAATGACTGTCTCAGTAAAGTCCACATAAATGGGGATGAAGATATCAAGAATTTGAGAAGTCAACCATAGTTCTATGATCTACACAAATAGCGAAGTAACCCAAAAATATGACAGGAGTGTTGGGGATAGTAATAAAAAAAATCAGGAACTAATTTTTAAAAGATAAAGGGGTGATGTAGGTTTTGTAGATGATTTCAACAAGTAAGAGTCATAGAAAATCTCTACAATGGTACAGCTTTTCAAGAATAAGAAAATGAAAGTGATTGGAAGAGTCAACAGTCAGAAGGGCACCCATTCTATTTTCAGGGTATATGGTAGAGAAAACATTCACTATTTGAGTAGGCTGCAGAAGTAGTATCTTCAAAGAAAGATTAAATTTCTGTTACAGCAAGAAGGGAACATTTTGAGGAGGTGTTGGGACTCTAGGTGGTTATGTTGATTTGTGCCTGTGAGTTCTACAGGTACAGAAGAATGTTTTAGGAGAAGGGGATAATTGGGAGATGGGGTAAAAATTGGGATGTATAGGCTGGGCACAGTGGCTCACATCTGTAATCCCAGCACTTTGGGAGGCCAAGGTGGGCGGATCACCAGGTCTTGAGATCGAGACCATCCTGGCTAACACTGTGAAACCCCGTCTCTATACAAAAAGTTAGCTGGGCGTGGTGGTGGGTGCCTGTAGGAGGCTCCTACTCAGGAGTCTGAGGCAGGAGAATGGCGTGAACCTGGGAGGTGGAGCTTGCAGTGAGCTGAGATCGCGCCACTGCACTGCAGCCTGTATGACAGAGCGAGACTCTGTCTCAAAAAAAAAAAAAAAAAAAAAAATTGGGATGTATATTTTCTTGATATAGGAAATATGGATTCTTGTAGTGTGAAGTGAAAAGACGCATGGAGAGTAGAAGTGCCCCCTGTATGTGTGGAGAAGAAATAAGGCTAGATTTCCTGCCAGGAGAATGTAGAATTCTGAGACGACTTCTTCATCACTACTGCCAGTGTGAAAGCTGGGGAAAGAGTGCTCATATCCCTGGCTTACAGGTGTTTGCCCCAGCCTGCTCCCCTTCTTCTTTTTGTGGCTAAGTCTTAAATTTTGTCAGTGTAGGGCTACAGAAGAAGCAGTATGAGTAGCTCATGGGCTTTCTCTTAGCTCTTTTGTTGTGGACTTGTTCTTTTCTGATTTTGTTAAGAACTTTTAAACTGGATTATTGTTTGTTGCTACTATTGCTGTTGCTACTATTCCCTAATGTAAAAAATTTTAAAAAGATGCTGCTTCAACTTTGTTTCCAGTTGTTTCCTTAGCAAGAATCAGCCTGCAATAGTGAAAATTCAGCCTGGTGTGGGGCCCATGCTTGTCATCCCAGGACTCAGCTATTTAAGAGACTGAGGTGAGAGGATCCTCTGAGTCCTGGAGTTTGTGACTAGCCTGGGCAAAATATCAAGACTCCATCTATATAAAAAATAAAACAAAAAAAATAAACTGAGATCAAGAAAAGTACAACGTTTGACTGTGGTCACACCATTTATGGGTTGTACATGAGCAGTTTATAAAAGTCCCTTTTTGCTTTTTGATATGTATTTCAACTCTCTACATTTCAGCTTCCTGGTTTGTAAATGGAGATAATAGTGTCAAATTAATACAGCTATTGTGGGAATTAAATGAGAGATTCTTAGCAAAACATTCTGGTTAGAAAAAGCACTCAAATATAGACATGATTACTATTAACATGAACATCAAAAAGCACCCTAGTGAAAGAGTAATTGCTTAATCTCAGCTAACAAGTAATAGGTCATGAGTGTTTGAAAAGTGTGTCTCTGGAAAGCACACACATCTTGGCTATAATATTTTGTTGTCCTTAATCATTGTGTCTATTATTCCCAAAATAATATATAACTCTGCCTTCCATAGGAAACTATCTATAGATGGGTTCCCTAATTGGTTATGTACAATTTAAAATAATTTAAGAATTGCACCTGAATTCACAGTGTGTTCTAGTAATGACTTTTACAAAAAGATTTAAGATCATAACACTGATCCAGCTTCCCATTGCACTTTACCCATTATCTCTGTAAAAATTGCCTTCCTGAAGATTTAATTGGCACCCTAAGACATGGCAGATGATAATCAGATTTACTCCATTCAGGCTAACTTAATTTCATGTCTGTATAAACCTCAGAGTGATATAAAGGGGAAAAAGTTCTACTTAAAATGAAAACATTAATATTGTAAATATTCACTGTAATAGACATGTTGAATATTTTCATGGCATCCATTCTCCTTCTCATTCTAATAACATTCTATTGCTTTAGGAAGCCATTACTTCTTAGAAGTGTTACAGATATGAGTTGTGTATGATATACCCCATGTCCAGCTTCAGACTGAGCCCTGATAGATATAAGCAAATAAATACCCACTTTTGCAGAAACTGGGGCTGATGATACAGTACTGAGCCAATAAAACCACGGAATTCCATGTAGGTATTTTTTTCGTGTTTGTACAAATAGTGCGACCTTAAGGACTTTTGATTGGTGACGCTGACAGAAGTGTTTAGGAGTATAAACAAAGAAACGTTAATGTAGCTGCCACTGACCACTAAGTTGCGATAATGACCAAAACCAGGCTTCAGAGGCAAATTTCAGATGGAATGGAACTGCGAACCCAATATTACTTAACCTGGAACCCTTAATACCCCTCCACTTCTATATTTTCAGTTACAAAAATCTTTGATTATTTACCATTTTGAGTTCAGTTTTCTGTTACGACTGAAAGCATCCTGAATAATACACTTCTTTTAACTTGTCTACTCTTTGAAATGTAGGTTATTACTTTAGCTTCATGATGAGATGTTTAATAAAATTATAGTGGCCTTGGATATAATAGAATCCAGAGGTTTATCCTATATTTTAATGTCACATATATCATTGCTAGCAACTGAAGCATACCATTTTAGTGTCTAGCCAGAAGAACAAAACCCACACCAGGTAACTAAACAGAAGAAATTTAATACAGAAAATAAATTATGAAACTGTTAGGGTTGTAAGAGCAATCAGGAGGTATGCAATAACTCAGATTAGCAAAGGAAGAAACTATTCTCAATCCTAGGGCTGGAGTGGCCAGGAGGAGGAGGCTCTGCAACCATTGTCGAGGAGCCAGGGCTATGTAGAAGAAACTGCAGCCATAGTTTCTTCTGCAAATCCTATTTGCAGGAGCAAACTGCAAATCCTATTGTAAACTGCAGATCCTATTTGCAGGAGCTCAACAATTAAAGTAGCCTCTGCTAGATATTTGCTAAAAGTAGGGATTAAGAGAGGGCAAGAAATATTTGCAGTTCTCTCTTCTTCTCACAGTTTAATCTCCTGCCAGTAGCTTCGGTTGGTGAAAACAGTTGGCATAGTTACCTGTGGGGGTGGGGAAAAGCCAAATAAACCTTTTCAAGAGTTAGCCATCTGCCAGAAAGAGCAAAGCATGAATCTGTAATACACAAGTCCCAAATTTGAGTGGTTTGACAAACATGAAGTTTATTTATCACTCAGTGAAGGCTAATCATGGATTTCATTCAATTCAGTAGAGGCACGGGGTTGCTGCATCTCATAACACCACCTTCTAAGTCTTTATAGTATTATTTGGTTAATTGTCAGAAAGAAGGAAAAAAAATTTGGAAGGTCATTCATGGGAAGTTTTATGTGTCAGACCTGGGTATTTTGTGTATTACTTTCCCAAGTGGCACTGGAGTGACTGGGACCTGCCTGCACCTACCTTTAATGAATGGGAAACACAGTGTTGTTTGTTGTTGTGTGCCCATCAGAAAGGTGAGTAGGATCGGTGAGCACCTACTTGTCTCCGGCACAGATATCTCATACTGGTTTTAAGATATCACAGAGCAAACCTTTCCATTTTGGCAGGCAATAATGATTATGAAGTTCTTTCTATGGAGGCAAAATGTACTCTATAATTTTTGTGAAATGGTGTTAGTCCTGGCGATTTCAACTTTTCTTCATAATATGCTTTCAAGTCACCTGAGTGTCCTAGTCGGCATTCTCCATATGATCTGTGTCTTGTCAATATTCATATGCAGAAAACATTCATGGTATGAAGCTATTAGGTACACATGAGCGAGAATCACGGTTTTGACGCTTAATGTGTGAGCTTGGAAAAGTCACTGTCTTTTAACAAAAATATATTGATCATCGGAGTGGGGTTTTTAACTCCCAAGCTAGTCTAGACTAAGCTCCAGCAACTTGTCAATTACAGTTCACGTATTCCTATTTCTTCTCTCCTTTTTTCTCTAACCAAGATGTAATTCCAGCCACAGATTTCTCCTCCTAAGCACCAATTAATTTGTGATTCTCTGTATCTACCTCTGTCTTGTCTTAGGGTCTGTGGCTTAGCCCTGTGACCTCAATTCTCTGAGCGATAGAAGAAGAAGTGTTTCTTGCATGTGACTGACTACTTCCAAGATAGGAAGCCAGAAGTTATTTGTACTTGTAAAAGTCAAAGAACCCAAGACACATGCTTCTCTACTAAATAATAATTTTTTTCTGAAATTGTTGTTTAGTCATTACTTATATTTACTTGACATCTCCCCAGAATTTGGCTATGATTCTGACTTTCAGGTTCGGAGACATATCTCTGAAAGAGAAAGGGGTTCATTTTCCCATTTCAAAATGTTTTACCTGGCTCCATTACTGCTTGATGCCTAGTACTTCATTAGTCTTTTCATAGTTTTATCACTTAGAAGAATATCTGTAAAATAAGAACAATTGAGAACAGAGTGTACCTTAGCATAAAATAATCTCTTTGTTTCTGAGATTAAAGGATGCTCTCTCTTTACCAAAATGCAGGATTGCTGTCCTATAGAAGAAGCTTAAGTAGGAGTGATATCATCAATGACATCCTCAGGAGCCTGTCAGGTGATGTGAAGTAGTTCAGGATATGAATCTTTATGAAACATAAGAACATGGGTTGTTATTAATGGAATCTTACAATTCGATGGCCTCCGAGTCATTAGTTCTCACTTTATATTACACATTGGGAAACTGAGATGCAGAAGATTTTAAATAAACTGCTTGAGGTCACAGAGAATGTTGGTAGCAAAGCCACAATGAAAACCCAGGTCTTGGCATTTCCAGTGAAGTGTTTTGTTTTTCCTGTTTTCTTTTTCTTTTCTTCTTCTACCTACTAAGACCTGCTTTCTTTGATCTGCTCAGTTCTATTCTTTTCTATTTAGCTGTAGAAAGAAACACCTAATACATGGTGAGCAATCATGTATTAATTAGTGATAATAATGGCAACCGTGTTGGTGTGATGGAGTTGTATGACAAGCTATTTCTCTGGCTCACCATTTAATTTATTCTGCCATCGGACTTAGAAGAGATTGATTTTATTGCTTTACATTTTGGAACTTAGTGAGCATTTCTATTATAACCCTAGAGTCACATCACAACATCAGCCTCCATGCAGTTACACTTCATAAAGAGGCTAATAGAAGTTCATCCTGAGAGTGGGCTGGGGCCTAGAGGGCCAGTACTGCTTCTTTCTGAACTGTGTGTGTTTGTGTTTTAAGTTACAGATGTTGAAGAAGAGCTTTAGAATTGTCCACTTTGAATACCTTGGGATGGAAATCTTGATTTCTGTTTTCAGCCATACCTCTGAATTACAAATGAGCTCTGAACCAGTCACTCTCTTTCCCTACTCCTTTTGCTGTCTTCATAATGAGGATAAGGAAGAAAACCTGCCCTCCAACTTACCTTACAGAAATACCCTGAGGACTAATAAGATCACATGCATAAAACGACTTGGAGCACAAAGTATGACATCAATTATTCCTTCCTATTAATCTCATGAGATGTAATTCACCACTTTATAATGTGGCACTACATTGCAGTTTCAGGTATTCAGTGACAACTTATAAAAAGCTTTCTCTACTTTGTAGTTCTTCGTTTCTCACATAGGGAATAATAGTGTGGGGAAGATGAAGAGGCTCTCTCCAAACTCTGCAATAGCTAAGTCTAGAAAACTCATGTATCAACACTGGATGTTAAGAGTTAAAGGGCCCTAGACCAGACTCTTGTGATGCAACTATCCCAGGTACAACATCTCTGGCAGGTAATTAATTAACCACTGATTGAATATTTCTAGGGATGGAGACTTCACTGCCATCTAACACTGTCATTGTTGGGAAAAACTCATAGCTACAAACTTCAGTCTTTGGAACTTGAATTGTGCCAGTAATCTGTGGTAAAGATGTTCTGTGCCCCCACCAGCCCTTCCCCCAATCCTCGTCATCGTTTCTTTATTATAGAACACTATTTCTTAATTATTTGATTATCCTGATTAAACATTGTATTAGGCCGTTCTTGCATTGCTATAAATACCAGAGACTAGGCAATTTATAAAGAAAAGAAGTTTAATTGGGTCATGATTCTGCAGGCTTTACAGGATATATGGTGCTGGCATCTGCTCCTTGGAGGCCTCAGGAAGTTTATAATCATGGTAGAAAGCAAAGAGAAAACAGGCGTTTCATATGGCAGGGGCCTGAGTAAGAGAGAGAATGGAGGGGAGGTCACACACACTTTTAAGTAACCAGATCTCCTATGAACCCAGAGTGAGAGCTCGCTTATCACCAAAGGGGTTGCCCAAGCCATTCATGAGAGATGTGCCACACCTCCAAGATTAGCGATTACATTTCAACGTGAGATTTGAATGGGGACAAATATCCAACTATATCAAACATCCTTTGTTTCTTCATTTTTTTTTTATTTTTTGATTCCTGATATATGTAGTCACTCTCATTTGCTTATACTTTGTATAAAATGTAGTGTTCACAACTTGATCCAGTACCACAGAACATTGTAGGCATGTATGACAGCCACGGAAGTGTGCCACTTGACTCCTCTTTGAAGAGAGAAACTGCAAATCAGCTGCAAGGAGTACATCTAATTGATAAGTTCCAGCTGCAGCAGCTTTGGGACCCACAGCAGCATGTGAGCTGAGGCCATGCTCTTCCTCAACAGCTCTAGTTAATGACTGAACGTGGTAGAGTCCTAGGGACTGCTCATTTCTGCCCAGTGGAGACCCCTCCCCAACCCATAGGCAATATTTAAATATTTGCCCCTGAGCTCCCTGTTGAAGTGGAGAGGACTTTCTGAGAGTCATACCACGCAGTGAGTCACTTTCGATTCAAGCCTGCTTCCAGAACCCCTTTCTGTTCACATATGTGAGACCAACATTGCAGTCTGCAGGTTTACCCTGCCTACTCCTTTTCCCATTCTTTATCTTTTAAAGGCATTATTATAGATATCCGTTGTCTTTGTAACTCCATGCTGGTATCTGCTTTCTGGGGATGCCACTGAACCTAATATGCTACCTGCTTAGCCTTGATCTGAACTTTCCCAGCATCCATAAAATAATGAGTGACAATAGTTAATGTCCTATATTAAGATTATAGTGTGTGGAATACCTTAGACTTCCTCAATGGCTCCAAAGTTTGATCTATTCATTACCAGGTGAATTGGCTGGAGGTATCACTATCACTCGGGGCATACTGGATATCAAATAAAATTTTCCAAGCATCTCCTCACTCATACCTGGGAAGCTTTAGTACAGGGCTCAAGAGAGATTTTGTAACTGTCATCAGGTCCAGCATAATTTCTATAAGCTTTATAAAGGCTACCACACTAGTCATGCCTTAGGCACTCATGTATTCATTCCTGAACTTTTGACTGAGACAATCTTACTTACCTACATGACATTTAATCTCATTGTTTATCTTCCCATTTGTGACTTCTCCCCACTGTTATCCTCTACACTTAATATCACTTGTCTAGTTTTAAACTTAAAACTCTTTCTTGAGTACAATTATAACTTTCTACCTAAAATGTGTATTTTCTAAAATGTTTCTTTCTAAGCTGATCCCTGTAATATACATTATGTGTACGTCTTGACTTTGTGACTAATGATCTTGCTTTTCTATATAAACTATTATTCCTCCTAAGTAAGACATAATAGTAGCATTTTAAAGACATTCGATTTCAGGTGACAAAATTCTTCATTACAAGGGTTCAAGATTGAAGTTTGGTAGTAGACAAGTGAAACAATCAACTTCACCTGAAATGAGTGGTAGGCAATGGGTTCCACCATGGGCGCAAAGAAGCAAATTCATACCCTTAGTGTATGAACTTTTATTTAACCATATACAAATTTCAGACTGTAGCCCAAGCCAATCAGTATATATGTTTCCCCGTAGAAATCAATTAAATATGGCTGGGCACGGTGGCTCATGCCTGTAATCCCAGCACTTTGGGAGGCCGAGGCAGGCAGATCACCTGAGGTCAGGAGTTCGAGACAAGCCTGACCAGTATGATGAAACCCCATCTCTACTAAAAATACAAAAATTAACCGGGCATGGTGGCATGCACCTGTAATCCCAGCTACTTGGGAGGCTGAGGCAGGAGCATCACTTGAACACGGGAGGCTGAGGTTGCAGTGAGCTGAGATCATGCCATTGCACTCCAGCCTGGGCAACAAGAGTGAAACTCCATCTCAAAAAAAAAAAAATTAATGAAATATGACTTCCTGAATTTCAAACAAGACTAGTATTTATTTAAGAAAGGATCTCACAGGAGGATAGCTTGAGGCCAGGAGGCAGAGGTTGCATTGCAGTGAGCCAGTGCACTGCAGCCTGGGTGAAAGAGTAAGACCCTGTCTAAAAAAAATAAAAATAAAAAATAAAAAACTTCAAACATCAAGAAATGAGGAAAATTGACCGTGTTGTAAAAACGTAAGTTGAGTTTTCATGATGGTAAGGTTTTTACTTCACAAAATATTTAAAGAAACCTGTGAGTAATAATGGGATGACCATCACAGAATTGAAACATAGCACATTTTAGTAGTCAGGGTTCTCAATTAACTTTCACACACATTTTCAGTAAGTATTTTCTATAGCAGTGATTTTTAAGTAAACAGAAAATAAACTGGTATCAATTTCAAAAATAAAATCCAAAACCAAGGGAAATGAATTATTTAAAAAAGCAACTGAAGGAAAAAAAAGAAAAAGAGTAACAGCAACATAAAATATGCCGCTAGGATGTGAAGAAAAGTTTAAAAATGTAAGAGATTGAGGAAAATAGGAAAGCTAATTCAAGCATGCCATTTACTTCTTTTGCAGGATCTCTATTTGTGACTCATAGATAATTTATAGATCTATTCAATTAGCAAGTTAGACATGAGTGTGCTTACATCTGCCCATGCAGCTGAAAGCAATAATCTCTGTACTGTGGTGTTATTGTTGATAAAAACTTTCTGTAGCGAGTGCAAGAGAATTTAGTTTTCTGCAGAGCGGTTGAGAGAAAAATGAATCACAGAGAGGAATCTTAAGAGATTCAAACATGGCAAATAAATCTGTGTTCTGGAGTGGAAAGCCTTAGGCACACAGATGCCACATTCCGAGGCAAAAAGTGAAATATTCAGCTGCAGTCTTCCCATTTTGGTTTAAATCTTTGGATATTTACAGAAAATGTGTATCAAGCATACGGTTTCTCTTCTCTGCTTGTTACCCTGTACCACTTCAACCAAGGTTGTTTCCCACTCTCTTCATGCCCCACTTTTCATTAATGTGTCCATATTATTTGTCAATCTAGCAGGATAAACTAGCGATTTAATGAAGAGGTTGTCTAAGTAAATTTGTGAGAGGTATTTGAACTTTATATTAGAATTCCTTTTAGTTTGAAATCCGATGGTATTTGATTTTAAGATACGGTATCACCTCTTTTCACTGATTCTCTATCAAGTAATTCAACATACTGGATAATGCTATGTCATGGAAATCTTGGATATAGGACAAATGCTTTTTATTAGAGGCTCTTGAGCTGAAGAAAATGTAAGTCCTTTTAAACTTCCAGCCCTTATCTATTACATCTCTTGCAGATAGACAGCTGTGAGGGAGATAGGCGAGTGAAGAGTTGTTCAAGCATAGCCTATCCATTTTGTTGGCATTATAGCTTTTCTATTAATTCATACAGATATTAAATATTCAATGTCTGCCTTATAAATTAGTAAATAGAGGATATATGAATATGTATTTCATTTTACGCTCCCTGGGATAGCCATATGAGACCAACTACTTTATTAGTAATGCAAAAAGGTTTTATGTGTTCATATTTCAACACATAAGAAGACTTCCATATTGTGCTTGGAAATTATTAAACTATCTCTTGGTATATTATAGAAAAGTAAGTTTCAAGTTGAAATTAAATCTGTTAATTTCTGTAAATCAGGAAAAGGCACAAAAGCATTTCCCTCTCCTGCAAAAATCTTTGAAATGTTTCCTAAAGGAAAAATTATATATTTACCCTCTGTCTGATTTGTTTTTTTGTATGTGTGTGTGTTGCCACCTCTGAATCTCTATAGATTGTGTGTATATCCTTATTAATCTAATTTGTTTTACTAATGTCTTTATGGAGGATTAAAAACACAATAAAACCTAACTTCTTACTTCTTCTTTCCATATAATTCACACTATCTCCCAAGGTGTCAGACTTTTATTTAGCCTTCTTAAAACTCATGTCTACCATCTGTAAAAATGGTGATAATTCCTCAATGGGTTGTTGAATTAAATGAGATATATTTTATTTTCAACATCTATAATGATTCCTGAACATTTCAAGAATGAAAACTGTGAATATACTGAGAACATTTCATAAATTCATTACTAAATTTTAACCTATAGCATTTTTTCTCTGTAACTGAGAAGTCATGCAATGCAACAAGATTCACAATTGGAATGTTCGGTAGAGTAGGTCAAGCAGATCAATGTGAAGCACGCCTAAAAGTAAGCTTACCCCCAAATAATATTAGATGTTAGCTCAAATAAGTGAGAAATTTACCTTGCAATTATTTAAAAAGTACCATCTGGGCAGTAAATAACAACCTGAACATAGCAACATATAATTGAAGAGGACCCAGTGAGTCTTGTGACAGCTGTGAATGTGTTTAGAGACATTATGAAAAGTTTCTATGAGGTAGCAGTAAGACGAATTACACCTGACTTGCTTAATGTAATTTTGAGTTTGTAAATTTTCCAGAGCATACTGTTAAATATTCTAGTTTGTTTTGTTTTGTTTTGTTTTCGTTTTTGTTTTTGTTTTTGTTTGATACAGAGTCTAGCTCTCTCACCCAGGCTGGAGTGCAGTGGCGCAATCTCGGCTCACTGCAGGCTCTGCCTCCCAGGTTCACGCCATTCTCCTGCCTCAGCCTCCCAAGTAGCTGGGACTACAGGCGCCCCCCACCATGCCCGGCTAATGTTTTGTATTTTTAGTAGAGACTGGGTTTCACCGTGTTAGCCAGGATGGTCTTGATCTCCTGACCTGGTGATCCCCCCGCCTCGGCCTCCCAAAGTGCTAGGATTACAGGCATGAGCCACAGTGCCCAGCCATATTCTAGTATTTTTACAGTATTTAAAATCATTCCATAAGTGCACATTTTTAGGGCAACCAGAATGTATGTACACATTAGATAGTAATTTCATTTTTCCTTCATTTCTCACTCTCTTTCTCTTTTCCACACTGCTAGCCATTTCTTTATTTCTACTTTGGCCTTTGACTGTTTTATTCGATTTTTATTCTACTTCTAAATCAAAACTAAGTAAAAATATAATAGCTAGCCTGACCTTTATAAAAGTGTTGGTGATTCTTTCTTAAGAGATGCTAATATACTTTGTCTGCCAGTATCCTCCCCTCGTTTGACTTTCTTAAACGCTTCATGTAATGAAGATGAAAATGGAAAGCAAGAAAATTTAGTGATTTTGATTGGATGAATTTCTTTTGGGTACTTTTATTTAACCAAGAAGTGCATGAAATTCAACTTTGGTTCTTTCAAAGCACTACCGTGCTAAGAATAACTTTGCTTTTGAGAAGTTCAACAGTCATCCCTTCTAGTAGTTACAAGTGGAAGTGCACTTAGGACAGAGTAAAGAGTAATTGGTCAAAGCGATACATTTATAAATTGTGTATAATTATATGTCAATTGGATACTTCATGAGATTATCTCATGTCATAGTTGAAGATTTCCCTGAGCAACAGCAGCAGATACTTCATATAATCCCTTCTTTCTTTTCTGTGTATGTAGGCATGATCCACAGAGCAATGTTAATAGAATTGTGAGATAGTTAGAAGAACAAGCCTTTCTTATTTATTATATTAAATAGCTGTTGAGCAAACCAATAGTAGATGTTTTAGTATTCAAATCCACCATAAATAATATAAGAAGACAGTGATAGACATGAAAAAAACTGTTTCTCATACCTTAACATTGTTAAAATAGTATATCCTTAATTTCATAGAATATTCAATATTCAATCTCTTATCTGTTAGTGTTTTCACAAATAGGGATAACACATTTACTAATGGTTGTGGTGGACATTGTGCTAAGGTAGTTGAGAATCTTAATTTACTCTCTCACAAGTAAATAATGAAAGTCACACTGGGTTTGATTGGCTTCAGATATATAAAATACTGTAGCACTTATTACCCTGAAGTGATGAGGTGGAATGTAGGTCAGAATTTAGCATAAAGATATGAATGTAATTCCTGAAATAATTGACTGGGTTTAAATTCTAACTTTTTAATGTATTGGCTTTTCAACCTTAAGCCTGTTGTATAACTTCTGTGTGCCCCAGGAAATTGGGAATAAAAATTACAAATCTTTCATATGATTATTTTGAGGATTAAATGGGTCAATATATATAAACTTGGTTAAAACAGTACCTGTTGCACCAAAAGCACCCCCAACAATATTAACAAAAACTAATATGTGGGGCATGTAGGAAATATCTTTTCACATAGGGTGCTCCAAGGAGGTCCTTTAGGTATTGTCTTTCTGAGGATCTTTAAGAATCTGAGGATAAATATCTGGGATTTAAAAAATGTTTTATATATTTTTCATGTTGGGAACATTGTAATATGGACTTTTGATTTTGTAAATTTATATCAACTGACATTTAGAATTGTATCTGGCTTGCCTTTCAGAGATAGAATACCTCACACTTTTTAAAGATACCCAGAAATATAAAAATATGTATTATTATAAATATTATGATTTTATTTTATTAGAGATGGGTTCTTGCTATGTTGACCAGGCTGTCCTTGAACTCCTGGGTTCAAGCAATCTTCCCACTTCAGCCTACCAAGTTGCTGAGACCACAGATGAGTGTCACTGAGTCCAGTCTAAGATTACAATTTTATGAAGGTGTTGCATATTCATATCTCTTTGGCCTTTTAACAACACTGTGATATAAGTACTATGATTATTTTCCCCATTTTATCAATGAGAAAACTGAAGGTCAATGAGACTAAGAAGTAAGTGAGACTAAGTGATTTACTAAACGTGTTACTACTTCTTAGTAGAGAAAGAACTTTAAAGCAACAAGTTATTATTCTTAAGCCTTTGCACCTTCAAAGCTGACATACAAATAATAAAAGCTACCTTTGGCCAATGGAAAAAAATAAAAAATAATCTTTTTCCTTATCTATATATATCCAAAAGCAAACTGATGATATGTACTCTCCCCCATGTCTATGCCTGTTCTCTGGTCTTATCCCAATAAAGGATACCATACATGATTACATTTAGCAGGTGAAAACATACCTGTAATCCTTAAGGCCTCTTTTGTGATTCACTCAGTGTCTAACCCATCACGAATCTTGTCCATTAAATCCATGATATTTTCTTGTAAATATCTCAGCTCTGTCTGCTTCACAACTTCTCTGACACTAAGTCAAAGCTACCAACATATCTCCCATTTACTGCTATAATAACTACCCAATTAACGTGTTTACATCCATATGCCTCCTCCGTTCTGCTGTCTACATTACAACTGAGGTTGTCTCTTACAACAGAAATGCTTTCTTTACATTTCCAACTGAGGACCCCTTCACCAGCTTGTGTCATCTCTTGGGAGAAAGGGGAAAACAAAGTCCTTAACCTGCCTATGCGGCTCTGCAGTATCTGTTCCCTGCCCACGTTGCCTATTCATCTTGAAGTTTTTCTCCCTCACGCAGGTTAGACTGCACCACGCTTCCCCGTTTTGCGTTCTGTGCTCTTTTCAGTCTGACTTGCCTGGAACTCACTATCCTGTCTCTCCTGCTGCTGTGGTGTGGCTCCCCACTTCTGATGAAAATGTTCCTTTTATACCCATCCTTCAGATGGAGCTTGAGCAGTGCTCTCTCAGGATAAGCTTTTCTAAGCCTCAAGACAAGGTCAGATCTTGCTGTGATAGTCTTTTAGTACATTCTACTTAATTCTCATTGAATTGTCACAGTTTAAATATATTTATTTCACTAGTGACTTGATTCATATGTAACTCTCCTGCTAGAATTCTTAATATCAGTGTTGCTTTCTACTGTTTCTATGTGATGTAGCAATAATGACAGGTAATTTTATACCTACAAGTGTTGATTGAAAGAATGGGTGAAAAAAAAGGTAGAAGAGACTTTTATATTGCTCCATTTGATCCAATTATTCACTGCTTGGTATTTATTATACTGAATCAATTCTAGAAATGCTTCTGTGCATTAATGAGAAAAAATAACAAAAGAACAATGTCAATAATTTTTTGATAAACCAATTATTATAGGAAGACAAGATATATCTAATAACACCCCTACTTTTGTGTACCAATAATGACTTTATTCAAATATGTGTGATAGTAAATTGTTTCACTAACTATAAAATTATACATAGCGTACGTTTATAAATATACATATACATGTTTTAAAATTCTATGTAATACACACACATATATCATTATATAGCTGTATAAAATAAAGATGAACAGATATGTACACCTTTTGTTACACGTGAGAGTTCAAGTATGTAAAAACTGGATAGTACTTTTTAGCACTTGTACTTGGTGTAGTTATAGGAAGAGCACTGAAATGAAAAAATAAGCATACTTGGGTCCTAGTTCTGGTTTTTATCTGAATTGACTCTGGGATATTAAGAAAATCACGTTGTTAGGAATCAGTTTTCTCATTTGTGATTTAGGGGACTGAGCTGCTAGGTCTGTCAGGTCCCTTTGGCTTCATAGTGCTGTGATCTCTGCTGAATTGCACTAACATTTCTATGAATGGCATTTTCAAACCCAGAAGCGTTTGAGGAAATGACAAGTGAAATGATCAGGGGTGAAATTTTGCACAAGTGTTACAACAGGGTTGGAAAAACACCATGTATTTATATGGCTACAATGTTGCTGGCTGAGAACTTCATGTTATTGTTAGTATTTTGTGTAACTTATTTTAATTATTTGAGCAAATTATTCAAACCTATTTAAAATAGCATTAGAACTTAACTTCCTTAAATATGCAAAACATAGTTTAGGTTTTCTGGATTTTCATGTCATATTATGTTTTGATTAAAAAATCTTCAACTGATAAAATAGATAAAAATGTGAATGAATGTTCAGTAGTTGATTGGACTTAATTGTCATATGATTTTCAACAACTTGGAATATTAAATGTTAAAATGAGGTGACTAAAAATCAAAAATTACTTTAAAAGAGAATTAGGTGTTACTAGATGTCTGAAATAAGAGCTATTGTAGTTGAACACAGAATCAAACTTTGATTTTTTTTTTTTTAGCAAAAATGACCAGACCAAAAACCTGCCATTTTATGTTTATATGGCTGTCATTGCCTTTACCAAACTTAAAAAATAAATCTCCAAGAACACATGTGAATCTGACACTTACTTTAGGCATGTTTTTATATTTTTAAAGGATTCAAAATCCTTTCATAATTTTTAGTTCTTCATGCTCATTGGAGATACAAAAATTTTATTCTAGATAAATTCATGACAATTTCTGCAGTATATCTGTTAATAGGTCATAAAAAAACCTTATCACTGACCTTAGAGTTTTCACATGACATTCTTCTCTGCTATTTATGAATCTAACAAAATTTAGAAAGAAATTAAGTTTGTGACCACTATTCAGAATCTCTTAAGTCTTTTCTCAAGAACTATTCCAGTGACAGCCTTAATATGTTTCTTAGTAGAAATCTCAATGCCTGGGATTATGTCCATGTTTTTGACAGCTGTATATATCATGTAAACGTTGAAAGGTAGGAGACAGCTTCCAGAAATAATGAGTACCTAGATATCCGATAGTCATCTTAAAACAATTTAGTTAGAGAGAGTTGGGAGGCAGCCAGGAACTGAAATTGAAGATGCAAATATTAATGGAATAAGATAAGGGTTGTAAATCACAGAAATTTGCATGCCATTGATCTTACGTAGCAAGAAGATTGAACAGTGATTGACAAGATATAGGTATTAATTTAGGGGAGATAGAAATATGAAAACAATAGGATATGATTAGCAAATTAAATGTATATAATTCAAATATTAAAACAGATTTAAAGCAAGGAAAGAGCAAAAAAATGTTATCTTCATGCAGTATCTTGGGTTTTAACATCCTATGTGGATGATCACCACAGACTGTATTCAAAAAACACATGTCTGAAAAATAAGAATTTATTTTTTAAATCTCAAAGCATGGTAGATATAGATCTTTTCACCATCAATCTGAGACATCTGTATATGTTTATTAGATAAATCCACACGCCTATGATATCATTTTTATGATTACTATCATATTTACTGATTGATGCATAAATTTTCTATTATCCCTTATGAAGCAAAATTCAATAAAATATGAAAAAGAAAAAGTGATTTTTTCCACATATTTAAATCCCACGTGTTATGTACATATTCTATACAAGAGTTTATTCCAGTTATCGAATTAATAGGAAACAATGTTATACTTTGTGCCGCATCTATTGACTACATGCTGTTATTTGTGTGCTGTCCCTTCTCAGTATCAAACAGGCTCAGTCTCAATATATTTTTCTTTCTTCCTGAGAAGAATGTAGGAGAAGTTGAATAAACGGAAGAAAAATGCTATATATTGGTTCACTTCTCCAACTTGGTGTTTATTGTTTTACTCTTATCTTGAAATGATAGATTCATGATGTTTGATAAATGACTGGAAAGGTTGTTTTAGTTTCCTGTGCTTCCAAAGCACATAAAGTTTTGGTTAATGGATGGCGTGCTCAGTGAATCAAAGGTTGTGTTTCTAGGCTTCCCACAATACTGATGCATTTGCTTTTGTTTTAAGTTATAGCAACAGTTTGGGACAATAGCTTTTTTTACATTGTGACACAAACAGTGCAGGTAGAATGATGATCTTATAACAAGGTGCATCTGTTCTGATTTTTTCTGTTTGTCTGTGAAAATTTTCTACATTTCAGTCTAGGAGAGATTATTCCAAAATCAAAATAAAGCAAAAGGAAGATAAAAAGTTGAGTGGTAAGTATGTAATACAGCAGTGCTCATGCATTCAAACACAGTAGGATTCCTAATTGTACTGCAAGATATGGAACTAAATATAATGAACATATTTTAAACAATAGATGTAGGAAAGAGCTCAAAGAACCCAAATAGCCAAAACAATCCTGAGCAAAGAGGACAAAGCTGGAGGTATCATACTACCAGACCTCAAAATATACTACAAAGCTATAGTGACCAAAACGGTGTGATACTGGCATAAAAACAGAAACACAAACCAATGGAACAGATTGGAGAACACAGAAATTAGTCCACATAGATTCAGATAACTGATTTTTTGACAAAGGTGTCAAGGACACATCTTGGGGAAGGAAAAATCTCTTTAATAACTGGTGATGAAAAAATTGGATATCCATTTACAGAAGCATGAAACTAGATGCCCTACCTCTCACCCTATACAAAAATAAGCTCAAAATGGATAAAAGACCGAAATGTGAGACCCAAAAGGATAAAACTACTAGAAGAAAACATATGGGAGGTGCTTCAGGACATTGGTCTATGAAAATATTTTAAGAATAAGACCTCAAAAACAGGCAACAAAAATAAACCAATGGAATTACATCAAATTATTTATTTTGCTGTGCAGACTCTTTTTAATCAACAGAGTGAAAACACCAAGTATAGAATGGAAGAAAATATCTGCAAATGACTCATTTGGCAAGAGATTAATATCCAGAATACGTAAGGAACTAAAATATCTCAACAGCAAAAAAGAACCAACCTGATTAATAATGGGCAAATTATCAGAACAGACATTTCTCAAAAGAAGACATACAAATGACCAACAAATATATGAAAAAATGTTCAACATCACTAATCATCAGGGGAATGCAAATCAAAGCCATAATGAGGTATCATCTCACTCCAGTTAGGATGGCTATTATCAAGAATACAAAACACAGTGCTGGGGCGGTTGCAGAGAATAGGGAACTTTTATACTCTGTTGGCGGGAATGTAAATTAGCCAAGCCACTATGGAGAAAAGTATGGAGTTTCCTCAAACTACAAATAAAACCACCATATGATCCAGCAATCCCACAAGTGGGAAAATAAATCATTATATGAAAGAGGCATATGTATCCTGGTATCTATTGCAGCAGTATCCACAATAGCCAAGATATGGAATCAATCTAGGTGTCTGACAACAGATGAATGAATAAAAAATTGGTACACATACACCAGGGAATTATATTCAGCCATAAAAAGTGTGAAATCCTGTCACTGGCAGTAACATGGAAAAAACTGCAAGACATTCTTAAGTGAAATAAATGAGGAATATAAAATTAAACATTTTATGTTCTCATATGTGGAAACTAAAGTTGATTTCATAGGAGTAAGAAGAACAGATACTGGAGGCTGGGAAGGGCAGAGAGAAGGGAAGGATAAGAAGAGATTTGTTAAAGGATTCACAATAACATCTAAATAGGAGGAGTAAGTTCCAGTGTTCTATATATTGCACTGTAGGATGACTATAGTTAACGATAACATACAGTTTCAAATAGCTGGAAGGAGGATCCTGAACATTCCTAACAAGAAGAAATGATAAATATTTGAGATGACAGTTATGCTAATTTCCCCAATCAAATCACTGTGTGTGTACATATAAATATACACACACATATATGTGTACCAAGACATCACTGTGTAACCCCCAAAATACATACAATTATTTTGTCAATTAAAAAATCAATCGGTTGCAGGACAAATGTATATGCATTTTTTTGTAAACTAAAATTTTGCAATGCTTGATTGGAAAAGCTATTCATTTTATGTATAAAACAATAAAGAACTTTCAAATAGGTAAATAGAGACCGTCATTTCATATAACCGAGTGTGTTAGCTAGCTCATGTTATAACATAATTTTATTTTTGAGCCAACATGTATATAAATTAAAATATAAACATAGGTAGACTGTAGAGTTGCACTGTCTACTACAGTAGCCACTAGCTACATGAGGCTGTTGAAAACTTGAAACATGGCTAGTCTGCAATGAGATGAGATGTAATTTTAAAATTCATGCTGGATTTTAAAGTCTTACTATGGAAAAAGAAAGTAAAATATCCCAGTAATAACATTTCTATGACTACATACTGAAACAATTTTTTGGATATGTTGGGTTAAATGTCTTGCTAAAATTTATAAAATGAATAATTACTCTAATCACGTTAAATCATGTGTATACACACAGGTAGTATGCACACAAAAAGAAACTCACAGAAATGAAATTAAAGCGAAGCAGAGCTGCATTCTTTCAGGACTCATCAACTACTAAGGGCTCATGGAGTTATATCTACAATAAGAGACCCCTTGCTGAAAGCAAATGGTTATTGTATCCATGAAATAGAACTGCCATAGCAATTTCCCCACAGGCTTAGCCACCATTACTCCCATTGGAAAACTTCTGGAAGAAACTATTGGCTGAAGGAAGAAAAGCATAATGAACTCTGTGGGGCTACACTCTTTCCTTGGATTTCAGTTTAAGGTCTTTACTGAGAAAGCCTGATGCTGGCCTCTGTAAACATAGTTTCAACTCTGCTGCTACTTTCATCAGGTGTGGAAATCCAGATGATTGTTCCTCAAATTAAGGAAGTGATAACAATGCAGAAAACAAAAAGGGGCAAATCAATTCCTTTTTTTGTTCTTCTCTTATTTACATCTGAGAAACTCATACCTATTTGTTAAACAAGGATTAAAAGAAAAGGAAATACATTGTTATCCTGTGAGTAGTATGGGGTAAAGAAAGGTAATTTTTCTTTTCATCTGGTCAATTTTCACTCCTTAAGCCACAAACTAGAACACTTCTGATCCCAATTCTAATATTGTTCCCACGAAACTATAGTGTTTGAATACAAGAAACATTTAAACTCTGCAGTGTAACAGAGCTATAAAAAAGTAATAGGTGTCACCAACAGAGAGCTTGAGTCACTTGGAAATTACGTGATACCTCCCTTATTTATTTTGTAGAAAAAAAAATCTCAAGGAGTTTTGAAGAGGGTTCTTTCAAATAAGACTTTAAGTTCCATATCATTTGCTAGAACAATAAGTTGTTAAATAATTTGACGTTTCATTATGTTCTTTACCCGAACTATGGGAGAAAGCAAATACAAAAAACCTTCAACCATCCGGATGGCCAGATGAGCCCTGAAGAAAGAAGCAGCATGATTCAGGCTTTCTTTTTTAAAATTTGAGTGTTTTTGCTGCATGCCAAATATGCATTTCTGCATTTAGAGAAGAATGTTCCCAAGCATAAGGAGTGGAGTTCCATTCATAGCTCATCAACGCTTATCTAGAATTCTCCTGTAGTCAAATTATGTATTTTAAATGTCCATAGAATATCTTGCCACTTTTTAAATAAAGAACAATAATCTCTTAAGTTCCTTATAGAAGCTAGATATGTTAGACCTTTCCAAGATGAACAGTTTAAAAAATTTTCTTCCATTCTGTAGGTTGTCTGCTGACTCTGTTGATTGTTTCTTTTGCAATGCAGAAGCTCTTTAGTTTAATTAGATACCATTTGTCAATTTTTGCATTTGTTCCATTGCTTTTGGTGTCTTCATCAAGAAATTTTTGCCTGTGCCTGTGTCCTGAATGGTACTGCTTAGGGTGTCTTGTAGGTTTTTGATAGATTTGGGTTTTACATTTAAGTTTTTAATCCATTTGATTTAATTTTTGTATATGGTATAAGGAAGGGATCCAGTTTCAGTCTTCTGCATATAGCTAGACAGTTATTTTAGCACCACTTGTTGATAGGGACTGCTTTCCCCATTGCTTGTTTTTGTCAGGTGTTTCAAAGATCAGATAGTTGTAGGTGTGCGGTCTTATTTCTGGGTTCTTTATTCTGTTCTGTTGGTCTATGTGTCTGTTTTTGTACCAGAACCATGGTATTTTGGTTATTGTATCACCATACTATAGTTTGAAGTAGGGTAGCGTGATGCCTCCAGCTTTCTTCTTTCTGCTTAGGATTGCCTTGCCTCTTTGGGCTCTTATTTAGTTCCATATAAATTAAAATTTTTTTTCCAGTTTTGTGAAGAATCTCAATGTTAGTTTAATAGGAATAGCATTGAATAGCACTTTCACTAACCACTTTCAAAATTCACTGTTCAAAAATAATCCATACATTTGGCCAACAATCATATGTAAAAAAAGCTCAACATCACCAATCATTAGAGAAACATGAATCAAAACCACAATGTGATACCATCTCATACCAGTTAGAATGGCTATCATTAGAAAGTCATAAAATAACAGATGCTGGCAAGATTGTGGAGAAAAAGGAAGGTTTGTACACTGTTAATGGGAGTGTAAATTAGTTCAACCGTTATGAAAGGCAGTCTGGCGATTCCTCAAAGACCTAAGAAGAGAAATACCATTTGCCCCAACAATTCTATTACTGGGTATATACCTAGTGGAATACAAATTTGTTGTATTATAAAGACACATGCACTCGTGTTCATTGCAGCACTATTCACAATAGCAAAGATATGGAATCAATCTAAATGTCCATCAGTGATAGACTAGATAAAGAAAATGTAGTACATGGACACCATGAAATACTATGCAGCCATAAAGAAGAATGAGATCACATCCTTTGCAGGGACATAGGTAGAGCTGGAGGCCATTATCTATAGAAAACTAAAACAGGAATAGAAAACTAAATGCCACATGTTCTCACTTATAATATGTATGTGGGAACTAAATGATGAGAACATGCAGGCGTATAGGGGAACAACACACACTGGGGCTTATTGGAGGCTGGAAGGTGGGAGGAGGGAGAAGTGAGAAAAAATAACTAATGGGTACTAGCTTTTGTACCTGGGTGATGAAATAATCTGTACAACAAATCCCCATGACGTAGGTTACCTATGTAACAAACCTGCACATGTACCTCTCAACTTAAAAGTTAAAAAAAAAAAAAAATTCATAATTTGGTGAAGTGTGTTTTACTTTTTTACTTGAAAGTTAATGGGGAATAATTCAAACCTTTTCGTGTTCCAAGTTACAGTATGTTTCTTTGTAGAACAGAAAAAGTAGTATCTTTCCTTACCCATTGCTATTCTACGGCTGCCATTGCTATAACAAAAGACAGGTTAACAGGAGAAAAGCCTACAAATTTAGTGTGTGTGACATGGGAGCCTTCAGAAATGAAGATTCAAATAAACAGGAAAAATTGTGTACATTTTATGCTAAGTCAGAAGAAGTGGACAGTTGAGGAGAAACATGATTGGACTTAAGGGGGTATGATTTAGAAATCCCAGGTGGGAGGGGAGGCTTAGCAAGGCCTCTCCATATTCTTCAGATTCTTCTTGGTATCTCTGTGTTTCACTCCTTTGCCCTAGGTATAGGGCAGGGCCTATGACCCATTTTTAGGGGAAGGTTACCTAGGTTTTATGGCCTGCTTTAGGGGAGAAGCGTGGGAAATTTTTGAGGGCTTGCTTCTGTTGTTTCCTCAAATGCCACTGTTATATTTTGTGGTAGGCTGTCCTGAACCCCATCATCTTTGTGCCCATCAAAAATGAAATCAATGTTATTGTCTATGTTAAATAGGTTTTCCCATCATGTACAGGAATAGTATTTGAAAGGGGAAAAATAAGTCAAGCATCAGTCAGGTTAACAAATCTTACTCATGCTTTCAAATTCTATTGCACAACTTTTGCAATACAGGACTAATGAAATTGTCCCAATAGTTGTTGCCAAAGAAGATGTTTAGCTAAGTAGGTGGGGATGAGTAGCAGCATTTGCATTTTCAAGGGGGAAAGGGAATTTGTTAAATGCATGTTCACACGTAGGACTCAAGGGAACTTATTTTGAGAGAAATTTGAAGAAGGTGTTTTCACGAGGCACTTAAAATTCAATGCTTTGAGATATCATACAGTATGTTGTTTTTAAGTTATTTTGGTTTCACTCATGTGCTTTGTTATTATCTCCCTTTGTGTAAGAACCTGATGTTTTTGCTCATATTTCTTGTATGATTTAACATGGGAATGTTGTGAAACATTTTTATCTGTTGCATGAGAAATACCATCTATTCCCCAGTTTATACATTAATGCTTAACAAAATATAGACGTACTATATGAACCTAATGTGTATACTAGTTATCAAACTTTACTAATACATATCAAAATATTCTATTTCTACTAATACACAAATCTGGCACACAAATCTAGATTAAGTACATATTTTCAGCTATAGACATTTGTATTTAAGGCCAAAACACAATTTCTTCGTACTTTTTTCATGTAGCTGTCTGGACAGGCTAGGTTATGCTAATGGTAACAAAGTTAAAATTTCAGTTGCCTAAAACAGAAGAGGTTATTTCTTGTTCACAGATTGTGTGTGTATCATGGGTTGGCTGGTGGCTGTTTTGTGCATGGCTGTTTTCCTCACATTGGAGCCTAGGTTGAAACAGCAGGCGTGAACATTGCTGCCAATCTCGGTAGACGTCAGAAAATAAGAGTGTGGCAAGTTGTGCACTCATTAACTTGTTACCTAGAATAAGAAATAGCTGGAATAATTTTGAACGGTCCAAACTACTAATAAAATATGCAGACAAAACCCTAGTAACCCTAACTGTGATCTAAATATTTGTCTGTGATATCAAATACTTAAAATTCCCTGTGGAGTATGTGGGGTTGGGGGAGAGGAGACAGATCATACATTTGATAATTACCAAGTCAAGATAAAAACTTCCTGCCACCCACTGCAGAATTCTGAAGACAATAGGTTCAGAGAACACATCTGCCATATGTAGCAAATAAATACTTTATTATTGTTTGTGCTTTAGCTCCAAATTTCATGTCTTGGAGAGTTGAGGTTGAACTAGTCAAACTCCTTTAGCATAACCAAGTAAAATCAGCCTTCCCCATCTCTCCCTCCTCCTACTCATCTCATTCCTATGCCCTTGGTTTGCCAACATAGGACATATCCCATAATGGAAAGCTCAGGTCCTTTGGGTTGAGCTTTAAAAAGCCCAACAGAGTTCTTAAAAAGAAAATAGAGAAGAAGAATCCAAAAGATTAAAAAAAAAAAAAAAGGCTCAAAACAGAGATTCCAAAATAGAGAACAGGCCAATAAACCAGAAATGTGAATGATCAAGAAAACTGTTTGGCTATTTCCATGGATCTTTCTCAAATCGACAAATAAAATCATAATCTAAATTTGTCCAGGATATTTTTATTTTATATATTTTTTTTCACATGCTTTTTTTTTTTTTAACAAAGGGCAGAACTCCATGTTTAAAATCCCCTGTATTTGGTTTGAGTGTAGCCAGATAGAAGCATAGAAGCATATCTGGCTTGTGTTACCTGTTAACACAAAGGGCACACCTAGCCACCCAGCGGATCTGAAAGCTGCCAGCTAAAAGGAATACAATTAACCTAGTGTGATAGGGCACTGAGGGGGAAAAGAGACAGAGGCAAAGAGAGAGATCATTGGCATCACAAAAAGACTTGTACATAAATGCCATTTTCCTGGGGAGGGTTAATTTTTGTCTTTTCATAATTAATTTTTGTGCTAGCCCTCAGATAGTTTATCTGTCTGCTAGTCCATAAACAAATAGTGAATAATTTCTGGATGAATAATATTGGATATTGCAGATTCTCCTTTCCCGCAGTTCTCAATCTAGTCCCTTTGACCTCTATTACAGAAAGTTATTTTTGCTGATAATCTATGGTTTTAAACCTACTGACAGGCCACTCCATGTGGTACATTCCTGCTAAGTAACTTAATTGAGATCAGATTAGTCTGAGACAATTACCTAGATTTACATATTTATGAAACCAGCCTTGGCATTGCCTGAAACATGAAAGCAATGAGAATGAATCTAGAAGAAAGAAACAAGAACTTCCCTTTCTCACCCTCAAAAAAAGAGTAGTTCAGAGAGAATATCATAATTTTTCCTATAATGTAGATATTTTTTCATGTGTTAGTATTAGAATTGTTACAGTGCCTAGTGTTTTTAAATTATAACTATAATTAGTATACTTTAAGCTGTGGGTGGTGATGCAATAGAGAAATCAAAGTTTTAAAAATCTAGTTTTAATAGCAACAGCAGTTCACGCAATTAAGCTAGCAATTCAGTGAACTGCATCTTTTACAAATTCCAAGCTTTGCCGCATCATGGGGTGACTTTATAGCCTACTGTTTTCACATCCTTGTTGATATCTTGAATTAGTCAAGCATCTGTTATTCCAATGAAATCAGGTATCTATTTCAGTACTTTTGTTTTCAGCATTGCAGTCATGATCTCATTTCTTTTGTATATGTTCATAAATGAAAAACATGTTTCTAATACTTATATTTATTTTTTTCACATGCTTGTTAACAAAGGGCAGATATGAAGGGTTGTTTTTTTAAATTGATCTATATAAAGGCACATTCTCTCAATGTTTCCATTTACTTTTTTTGTTGACGTGAGAAAACTAAGTCAAAGAGGATTTATTTTGAAACTTAAGTAAGTTGGCAGGTAGTCATTAACTGTGCTTTCATAATCTCATAAACCACTGAGTTCTGTATCATTTTACTTCCATCATAATGTGTAGACAAAATATGAAGGGGTTAACCTAAGGAGTCTAGATAATTTTTTAAATACTTCTAAAATACCTTGATATCAAGTATATTAAATATATTAGGCATATAAAGAAAAACAAAAAAGCATACAACCACAGTTTTAAATCTCAGACTTTGTTAATAAAATGACTCTAGTCAATATACTTTTCACTAAGTTGTGATTTTTAATAGCATAAGAATGAAACAAATATTTTCAACTAAAATACATTTTCTAAGTTCCAAGCATTAGAGAAAAAGTCTTGAGATATATTCCTTTTTATATTTAGTTCAACTGCTCATTGTTGAAATGCTTTAGATTCAAAATGTTAAGCTGACAGAAGAGTGACTGGTATGAAAAGGTAATATATATCCTTCTTTAAATTTTATTCACATGTCATATGATTGTCTGGAAGACTGTCATTTAATGCTAAATCTTTTTATTTCTCCCTGTTATTGTTGATACCTTTTCATCATGAGTGGGAAAAACAGATTACACTCCCCAATTAAAAAAAATAAAAATATACAGCTATAGGTGGTTTGGGGTTATGAAACTATTTGCTATCCAGAAAATAAACATTGAAATTATATTAAGAATGTATTGATTGTATGAATGGCAAACAACTTTCAAATAACAGCAAATATTACCCATAGCTTATAAATTCTGAAAAGAAAATAACCAAGCTGTTTCAATCAATCAATAATAGCTATTTTAAATGGCTACAAAAAAGGGTGATGTTTGACATATTTTACCAAGACAACAGAAGATTCTAAACATAGCTCATTCTTCATAGTTTAGTATCTGTGGATTAGAAAGAATCAGTTACTTTATTTTTGTCTCCAAGGATTTATCGAAGGGCTAGGAGGGCAGAGAACTGGGAAAAGTAACTGTCAGAGCAGTTAAAAAGTGTTTTAATTTATATATATTAAATCTTATAAAATCCTGTCTAGGAAGACATTATTAATTATGGAGGAAAAAACTAAGGCTTGCCTGTGAGCACACAGTCAAACACAAGGAGAGATTTTACCTGAATCCAGGATTTCTGCACCCAGAATCTATGTGTGTATTTATTCACCATGAATTTGCTCAAAAACAAAACTGTAAAGAAGAAACAAGTGAAGGAAAAGGGTGGATACTGTTAAGAAGGCTTTTCTTTCCTTTCAAATTAAGGTGTAACTAAGTCAAGTTAGTGGGAGGAATGGATAGAAAAACATGCACTGTGTTTAGGATTCAAAATAAATTGGCCCTTGGGGAAGTAAAAGGGAGGATAAAGTGAGGAGAATGCAGAGGCTGCAACTGAGGACCCCAGGGATTCATTAAATGTGGTTTAATCAGTTACACATGGCATGTTCACCCTCCGTATTTAATGGGCGTTGGAGGAGGAGCTCAATAATCTTCCCAGTAGTTTTATTTCTCTCAGGTTCGTTGTGTCAGTTACTTGGATGGTACTTGATTTTTGCATAAGGCAGTCAGGAAGGGCCAAGGGCACCTTTGTGAAAAACACATGAACAGAACAAATGTTAAATACACCCAGCCCATATTTAATATTTCTCTCATTCGGCCTGACTGGCTAAGACTTGGTTGGTACAAACTTTTGAGGAGACAATTTGAGAAGACACATCAAAAAAATTTTATATGTTTATTTTCTTTATCAATTCTAAAATACTATACAAAAAAGATTGCAGAAGTACACAAAGATGTACAGAGAGATAACTGACATTCATGCTCACAAAAATGTTAAAAATGACTGAAATATCAAAAAAGAAGTATGGTTAAATACATTACTCTGTGTCTATAAGACCAGTTAGTATGCAGTAATTGATCATAATGATTGAGAAATGTATGATAATATATTGCTGAGGGAAAAAGCAGATTTCAGACACTATGGTCTGGTGTAAAGTTATACATGTTTACATAGATTGAGAGATATAAAGTTTCAAACATAGATATGAATGTTTAACTTCTATGGTGCAGGATTATTGATTATATTTTAATACTTCTTTTTCTTTGAATTTTTAAAGTTTTCTTCAATGTATATTGGTCACTTTTGTAAGTTTAAAAATGCTAAAAAGTAAAAATATGAAAAAATCTTCCCATTAGGCTTGAGTAACAATACCAAATTTGACATATAAAACTCAATACTTAGATATTTATAAGAAATTGCGGCTTGCAATTCATTAGTCAAAGGGGCATTTGCAGAATACAGTAACTTTTTCAAGGCATCTGGATGCCAAGTCCTGAAAAAACTCCTTATTCTGAAACAAAGATTTTTAAAGTACCATTTTGTATTATAATCCTTTTGGTTTGTATGCTCAAACTAAGTCTACATTATCTAATTTAAGTCATGCGTAGAATAAGCATAAATATTTGCCTAAAAAGTTTGGATTGTTACTCTTAATGCTGACGATATTTCTGAATGAAAAATTCTATCATCCCAACATCATACCCAGCAAACTCTGACAGATTGTATGATGTTTTTTAGCTCATTTTGATGGTTTTGCAAAAGAAATACACACATTTTCATATATTGCAGGTCCAGTAGTTCCAGAAATCCTTGTGAACATTGCAACATTGATAAGACGAATCTTATAAGCTTTAATTAACTTTCAAGTATTCTGAGATACCTGATATTTGTATATCAGCTCCTCCTTTTTGACCTGAGTTATGACAGGACGAGGTTAATGTGCATAGCCCTTCTCACATTGTATCTGGTTCTCCATTCTTCGGATTGTTCAGGCCCTGAATTAGCCCATAGACTCTCATTTTGGGTGTGTCTACTCTGTGGGTAATCTGGTTGTCTTTTTTTTTTTTATTTTTGATACCTCTTTGGGACAGTGTATTCTAGTTTGTGTGTTGAATGCTAATTTTTTAAAAATGTTCCAAAAACTATGTGGTCTACCATGTTCTGCTTTGTAAATACTATGACATTTAAAATGAATGCAAAGTGGACAAAATATACTCTTTATCAAAGGAAGTTAACAATATAGCATTTAAGTTTCTTCTTTGGTGATGCTTGGCCAATTTGCTTAATGTTATAGTGTGAAAAAAAAAAAAAAAAAAACACACATGACCAAAAAGTTCTGTCTAAAGAATTGGGAAATTTGGGCTTGAAGATGTAATTTAAGATAGAGGAATTCAGTTTATTCATTTAGAGTTCTTGGCATATCCTCCTGTATTGACTGCAGGTATGTGGGCCGAGGGTAATTTTTGCCTGAAGATGGAAAGAATACCTCTTACTTGCTGACGTATAAATTGATGATAAAAACAGGATGAAAAAAGGGATTTGTAGAACGTAGAGCTAAACATATTTAGATGTGGTTTCTATTGCAGTTATTTCTAGGCATGTAACTTTGAGCAGATTACTCACCCTCTTTGACTTTTGTCTCCCCGTATAGCAAATGCAGAAAATAATGTGAAACTTACAGTGTTGTAGCAATTAAATATGCTTTTTATATAAGGAAACAAATATAATTCCTGGCATTTGCCAGTGCCTTTTTCCCTAAATATCTAAAATGCTATGGGTGAACATGCTTGTTGAAAATAAATCTTGCAGAAATTGCCAGTGTCAAACCTTGTTGTATTTTACCAAGGAATGTACAACCTTTTGCTTGTCTGGTGTTATTTTAAATCTAGCTATGGAAACTTAAACCTGCTCATCCACAGTGTTCTTGGACACTTCTATTTTTATAATTTCGCTCTTTTGCTTCCATGACCTCTCCTTCCTCATCTTGTGCTTAGGTCCGAGTCTTTTGAACTTTTTAAGTCTGATTCTTCCTATCTACAATATGGGAATAATAACACATTACTTAATGGCAATTATGAAATTTAAGTGAGATAATCTACATCTGCGGCTTCAAAAAGTATAAAATACTATGCAATTATACTGCCATGTTGTTGCTATTATTATATGTAGATGCTTAAATCTTCTAAAAGGAGTGATCAGAATTGAGAATATTAGCATGTGTCCAATTGTACAATTTGCAAATTCAAGCCTAAATTAAAGAAGTAGATTGGACTGTCAAAATGGCATGCTTGTGAATAACTGAGCACAACAGCTTGGTGCAGTCCTACTATTCACATAATTTAAGATTAAGGAGCACTGAGGGCCACTGGGCACAAGCAGTTGTATGCTGATGCCAATTCATGCTGGCGCCAGTTTGTACTGGCTCTTGATAGCTGATTGTGCCCATCTTTTTCCAACTCCAAATTCAATGACCTCACACTGGTAGCTTAAAATTGGCTAGAATCAGTATTTCACCAAGGAAATCGCGGAACTACAAATTAGGACTTGTTTTGTTTTGAGACGCAGCTGTCAAACATTTACCAGCTTACTACTGGGCACAGCCCTCACTATGCCCATTAAAGGCATATCATGGTTAATAAAATTCCACTGGATGTATTTGTATACAATAAGAACATTTGAAAAAGTAATCTTTTCTCTTTGAAATGATGTGTGTGTTATTTCTGACAAGGTGAATTCTTTTACGTTACATTATATTATGAAATAGAGAATACAGCCAAACAGAGCAAGATACCCAGTAGCAGAAAGATTTCTTGCTTTCAATCTACGATTTCTGAGATAGATAGATAATTGGCATCTGAAAGCATTAAAGAGTCACTGTTAACAACAGTATTTGGTATTTGCTACTTATATTTTATTTGACAATCTATCTATCTTTTTTACTTTGTGTATCTAGCGATTTCTTCAGACGCTGAGGTATTTTACTTTGTGTATCTAGCAATTTCTTCAGACTCTGAGGTATAATTTAGACTGCCTATTACCTCAATGAAAGTGCAATTTGTTTCTAATTTATCAGGCCTTCTGAATTTTTGTTTGAATTTATAATTAGAATATGCTTCCTTTGAAAGAAATACAGGAGCCAAATTTATATATGCATTTTTATTATGTTCCAATATACTGCCACTATACAACTTCATTTTTCTTAAGAACCCCAACAGCACTTAATAAAATAGAGGTTCTTTCACAAGAATTTCTAAAATAATTTTTAAGATATCAATCAGGACTAAAATTTATTTCAACTTAAATGGAGATTATTTTAAATCAGTTATGTATATTTAATAATGGCATAATAATAATTGATAGGAACAAACACAAAACTCATTCCTATGTGTTGAGTCTTATTTTCCTAGTACCTAAGTTACTCTTTAGTCTTAAGTCAGACATTATAGAATTACAGGTTCCAGGGCCATGACCAGCAATTTAATAAGCAAAGTGGTTGTTAGGTATGTCAGATATTTAATGGAGTGAATTTAAAATTAACATTCGCTCAGAAGATATATGTACTAATTGACTATTACATGCACAGTTCTACATGGATGCCCTCTATTTGAGAGTCCATAGTGTATGCTTTGTAAATATTTGAAGCAGGATGGAAGAATGGGTCCTGAAGAATACACAAAAATGTAACACTCAAGAGTTTTCCATAAAAAAGCATTAAATTCTAGTTAAAGAGTCATAGTCAGGGTTCTTCAGAGAAAAAGGATAGGGTCTGTATATGTGTACACATACATATACCCAGATTTATTTCAGGAATTGGCTCATGTAATTGTAGAGGCTCGCTAGCATAACGTCTGCAAGGTAGGCTGAAATGCTGGAGACCCAGGAAAAAGTTGCCAATGCAGTCTGCTTTCAGAATTTCATTTTTTTTCTGGTGAACTCAGTCTTTTTATCCGTTAATACCTTTAAGTGATTGATTGGATGAGGCCCATTCACATTATGGAGGAAAATCTGCTTTACTCAAGGTCTGCTGATTTAAATGTTAATCTCATGTAAAAATACCATCATGGAAACATCTAGCATATTGTTACTCCAAATATCTGGGTAGTGTGGCCTCACCAAGTTGAAAAATAAAAATCACCCCAGGAGGCAAGACTGTGATGCACAAATATTTAAAGCAAATATTAAGTAATTGACTAAAATTGTGGTTACAATGTAATGCTAAAGGTTAGGAACACAGACAGAAAGGAAATAGTACTTAGAATTGATTAGAAATACATATACAGAGAAATATACTCCAAATTGGACCTTGGGACACAGGTGGGATTGTAACATAAAAGCTAAGTATATTCCATGTGTAATAGAGTGTTAGCAATGTGAAACCGATGGATTACTAATCTGGGCTAGGTACTACCTGGGACTTCAAAAAGGGTATCATCTGATTGATTAAACCAGAGAATCAGTGGTATGTTTCAGAAAGGATCTATGAGTTATAAAATATATGATTAAGGCGAAACATTAACCATGGACTGAACGATCAGATTCACTATCTTATTAGCTTCCTGCAAAATAGATTGGGTGCTTATTATTTCATTTAATAGAGGAGAGCTCCTTGTGTGATAGATCTGCATCTACTAGTAGTATGAACAGTTAACAGTAACCTTCTTTATAGCAAGAGACTCCATTAACTCATCTATAAACTAGGAATACTTGCTTCATGGCTATTATAAAGCTAAATTTTAAATCATGTTATTTTGTTCATAATATTGATGGAGGGCATATTATGTTCTAGGCAGTATACTATTTGCTAGACATAAAAGAACAAACAAGAGACAGTCATTCCTTTATGTAAAATGTTATCTATGTGTGTGTGTATATATATATATATATATATATATATATATATGCTGCAGCAGTAGAGTGCCTATAATAGAAAATTAATAGCAGACAACTATGATTAATGCAGATTGTGTTAATGTTTTCCTCACTCTGTATACAGACACATAATATGTTTATATATACTTACACACATACAAGTGCAATCTGAAATGCTTCCATTCTTGACCTCCTTTAGGTGTTACAAAGTTACCTTCAAAGTACAAAAATATTTTCAAGCTAAATAGTTCTATCACAGAACCAAACCTGATGAAAAATCACAGAGCCTGACATTGATTTAATACCCAATCTTGCCCTGGGGTGTATGAATCACATTGCAGTGTGTTTTAGAAAAATGAGTAGTACATTTATGAGTCAGACTTTGGAGAGAGGTTGTCTTAGACAAGCAAATGTGATTCCTCTAATGCAAAATTTAGAAATGACTGCATAGAGAACATGTCCTAAAGACTTTGCATTCAGACAGGTTGTATTCCCTTGGAACACAGCATGTGGGAAACTTCAGCCCAGCAGTGTGTGAACAGTATACTTCTCCTTTTCAGGTATAGCTGTCATTGCTCTGCTGTGGTTTGACTACACAGGGGACACAGAACACTGACCTTAAACATTTGTTGATAAACCTGAGTTTCCTTTGACACTTATTGTGGGGTCCCTGCGACTATGATATGATATAATCAGATGAGAATTTAACACACATACTGCTGGCATTTGTCAAGCCTATTTCTATTAGGACCATAATTACCAATTATATTACGTGGCGGAGAAAGCAATGTTCTGACTGGTTACTTATGTGTAAAATGCACCAGCGCCTTTCCCACCTAAAGGTTTTTTTTCTCCTGGATATATTTTTATTGGAGATAGCTGTTGCCACAATCTACCTGTAGCTACTTACCTTTATGGGTTTAAATCACGACTTTAACCCTCAGAAGCTCTGAAATATCTGCCAAGTTGTTGAATGTACTGATACCATCTATATAATGGGAGTAATTATCCCAGGGTTGCTGGGAAAATTATACACAAGATTTTAAAATTGTGTCTGGCACAAAGTAACTGCTCACAAAATAGTAGATAATTTATTAGTTTTGGGGAGTTGGGGTAGGACAGTAATATTTAAATGGTAGACATCTGAGATTTCTGAGATTTAGATAAAATTGTATAGTTCTTATAGGCAAAGTGCACAATTTTGAGGATTTCAGGAGACGCTAAATGAAAAACCTTTTCATCCTTGAGTAGCTATGGTAAGGATGCAAATTGTTGAAAAATTTTGACATTTCGTTGTATTATTTAAGTAAAATCCATATTACTGAGGATATCCATGTAACTATAAAAGTGATGTCATGATCAAAATCACATATATAATTTTTTTTCTACTTTATTTGTGTACTTAGGAATACACTGCAGGAAAGTGCTTTTGGAAAGAAGACCTCTGAAAATCTTTTTCTTAATATGGAACTGGGGAAACTACCCCAAGATTTGCAACAATCTGAAGCATTTTACTCAAGAAAATGGCTGACTCTTGGTAAGAACAGTGAGCTTTGTGGCATTTTAACTTACCCTCTACCCATGTCCTCTACCCAGCTCTGCAGTAACATTGACAACCGACAGGCATACCACCCTGGTAGCTATGAACATTAGCCTTCTAAAAGTCACTAGAGGGATTAGAATAGGTTTCATAAAATACACCAATGCTCTTTCTACTTAAAGTTTTTTATCCTGGGGATGACTGTTGCTGCAGGCTCCAGAGCACAATCTGCCTCAAAGTACTTACCTTTATGGGTTTAATTCACATCTTAGGGCTTGATCTCTTAGAGGACTGTCACCATTTGTCCTGACAATTACTCTGGAGAAGTCCATTCTCTGTGATAGTCTTTATCTAACCCCAGGGCATAGTCAGAAAACAATTAGTGGCAAATGTTTACAACTGCATCTACCTAAGTTTAGGACCACCAGACTACAAAGGAAAAACTAGCAAATTAGGTGTTAATGGGGCTTTGAAAACTTCCCATATATTTCTGGTAATACAGAAGTCCCCTTGCATGTTCAGGGCATTTAAGGAGATCTCTGACCAATCACTAGTTTATCTCTAAGCTAATGAGTGACTCCTATGGCTAAATATGAAAGAGAATAGCCCAGGAAAATCATTAAACAAACCTTGGGGTAGCTGGTTTGATTAGGAGAAAGAAACACACATGAGAGAACCAGGAAATTATGGCACTTACAAAAAATAAAAAAGCAATCAGTAGAAACTGATCCCAAGGAAGGCAAATATTAAAATTACTAGTCATTTACTTAAAATTGGCTAATATAAATATATGCGAAGAACTAAATGAACCATTCTTAATATCTATGGAAGGATTGAGATGATGTCTATCAAAATAGAACACATCAATAGAGATTATTTAAAAACAGAATAGAAATTCTGGAGTTAAACTAGAATAAGGAGCCTAAGAATATTTGAAGCAAAAATGACCACAAACTTCCAAAACCTGGAAAAATTAACACATCAACGCTCAGACAACTCTAACTTGGATAAACTCCAAGAAATGCAAACTTAGACAAATCATAGTTGAACTTTGAAAAACAAAACAGAAATAGACTCTTGAAATCAGGAAGAGAGAGGTGAGTCATCACATAAAAATGGCTTAAAATAGATTAATATAGCCAACTTTGAGAAAAACTATGGAACCCAGAACACAGTGGAATGACATATTCAAAGTGCTAACAAACAGAAAAAGGCTCAAAACAAGGCAAAAGAAATACTTCCAATATAAAAGAAAAACAAAACAACAAGAAAAATGTGAGAGAATTCGGCAATACCAGTCTTTACAAGAAGTATTGAAGTTTATCAGGCTGAAGTAAAAGGAAGGTAAAATAATTGCCATGAATATGAAGCAGTGCTAGAAATAACTACATAGGTGAATATGAAAGATGGTATTTTTGTAGAAATTTTTTCTACCTGATTTTAAAAAACAATTGCATAAAACAACAGACAATAAATTTTGGGTTGGGGATAGATATTGCAAGATTGCAGAGTAAGACTTCATAGACTTTATACCTTGAATACCCCTAGAGTAGTAGCAACTTGAATCACTGCCTGCATGTAAAATATACTTTCATAAGAGCTAAATGAACCAGATGAGAGATCACAGCATCTAGATGTAGAACATAAATAAGAAAAAAAATGCATTGAACACAGGAGAAAGAAGAGTTTTTACATTGTCCCTGTTACCCCTTTCCTGACCAGCAGCACAATTTGAAAACAGACACCCTTCATTCCCCAAGGAGACAGAAATGAGCACAAGACTTTGCCTTGGACTTATACACCAGGACTGCCCCAGACCCTAAGCTGTTACCCACAGATGGAGCCTCCAGGATGGCCCCAGCAAGAGGCCATATCCAATGACAGTTTTCACAGAAACAAAGTCACATGGAACCATAAAGTCCCTGAATTCCCACAACAATTTTCAGTAAAAGAACAAACCAGAGGCATTGCAAACATTATTTGACTTCAAGTATACCACAAAGCTATGGTAATCAAAACATCGTGGTGATGGTATAGAAATAGGCACCAGTAGAATAGAGAACCTGGAAATAAAACTACATATTTACAGTCATGTGATGATGCCAAGAACAGACAATGGAGATAAGACAGTCTCTTCAGTGAACTGCGTGGAGACAAATGGATATCCATGTGCTGAAAAATGAAATTGCACCCTCTCTCACACCATATTAAAAAATCAACTTGAAAGGAATTTAAAGATGAAATTTTTATATGTACTTAATATGCATTATCTTGTTTACAAATGTTTTATATTTACTTTAAAAATATATGTACATATTAAGTACATATAAAACATTTATAAACAAAGGAATTTAAAGATGAAACAAAAAGCTAAAACTATTGGAATAAAACATAGAGAAATAGCTTCTTGACACTCGTTTGGACAATAATTTTTTAGATATGGCCCCCACCTCACAAGCAACAAAAACAAACATAGACAAATGGGACTAAATCAACTAGAAACTTCTGCACAAGTAAGGAAACAATCAACAGAGTGAAGAGACATGGGGTTAATATCTAAAATATAAGAACTCAACAGAAAGAAAACAAATAACAATTAAAAATCAACCAAGAACTTGAAGAGACAACAAACGGGCAAGACCCAGGTACTACTACATCGAGGGTCTTGGTGAGCCTTGAGACTTTCTGGCTTCCGGTAAGACTCAGCATATGACCAGCATGGTGGCTATGGGGTAAAACTCCCCCTGCTTAAGAAAAGCAGACAGAAAGTAAAGGGGACCTTGTCTTGCACCTTAGGTATGAACACCACTACAGAAGGGCAGAGCACCAAGCAGGTTCTTGGGGTTCCCGATTTCAGAACTTGACTCTTGGGTGACCTTTCTGGATCTTCCCCGGGCCAGATGGGAGCCCACTGCCCTGAAGGGTGAGTTCCAGGCCAAAAAGTATTCACAAGCTGACTTAAAAGACCTTGGGCATTAGGTAAACATTGGTGGTAGTCTGGTAGTACTCTTCATGGCCAGGGATGGTGGTGGCTACCGGGTAAGGCTCATTTGCCTTGGATCAAAAAAAAAAGAAAGGTGGAGATCAAACTCAGCTGACAGCTGCACACAGTACAGTAGAATACCAGGTAGAGTTCTAAAATGTTTGACTTCAGTTGCTGACTCCCAGATGGCCCTTCTAGACACACCTGAGGCTGAAGGGAACCTCACTGCTCCAAAGTGAAGGACACAGGCTGGTGTGCCTTTGCCACCTGCTGACTATAGAACCCCAGGGCCTTCACTGAACATAGGTGTTGGCCAGGGAGTAGTTAAAGCAGGCCTTGGGTGAGACCCAGTGAAGTCACAGTAGGGGGCGGTCTCAGGTGTGCTTGTGTCACTCCATCCCAAGCTTGAGGTGGCTCAGAACAGACAGGCTCTATGTTTGGGAGTAAGGGAAGAAAAGTCTCTGTGTGATCATTGTGAGAATTCTCCCAGATATTGTCCAAGACCATCAAGGTGGTACCTCTGTGAGTCTGCAAGAACCACAGCATTACTGAGCTTGGGGTGCTCTCTGAAGCATCTCAAGTCTAGATCATGACACTCAAGTCCAGACAAATAGCCAGAAAGCTTTCCCAATAATGATGGCTACAAATAAACCCAGACAGTGAAGACTACAATAAATACCTAACTCTTCAATGCCCAGACACCAAAAGAACATCTGCTAGCATCAACACCATTCAGGAAAACATGACTTCAACAAATGAACTAAATAAGGCACCAAGGTCAAATCCTGGAGTAACAATGATATATAGCCTTTCAACAGAAAATTCAAAATAGCTGCATTGAAGAAACACAAAGAAATTCAAGGTAACACAAAGACAGAATTCATATTTTGATCAGATAAATTCAATGGAGATTGAAGTAAAAGAAGCAGAAATTCTGGAGTTGAAAAATGCAATTGGCATACTGAAGAATGCATCAGAGTTCCTTAATAGCAGAATTGATCAAACAGAAAAAATCAGTTTGAAGATAGGCTATTTGAAAAAAGAAAAAACAATGAAACATTAAGGGGCAAGATGACTTACTAGACGCAACCAAGTGGAACAGCTCCCACACAGGGACTGAGACAACAGGCATATCTCTAACAAACATGACTGCTAGGCAGAGAGTAGACAGAAGGAAGACACAGAAGCTGGGCTGAATGTGGAGAAAGCTGGGAACCCTGCATGGGGCTATCACACATGAGGACTTGTTCCTGGCTCCAGGAGAACGAGTGAGTTGAACTGTGAAGGAGCAGCTGACTCTCACTGCAGGCCTCTGGAACCTTCACAGAAAGAGGCCCCTTGATCACCCACAGACACTCAAGTTGGCAGGGACAGATGCTTAGAGAAGTGGTAGGGGCAGCAAGCCAGCTGATGTAAAGTCCAGAGCATTTGGTACAGGAATGTCTACAGTCAAGCTCAGCCAGAACTGGCCATCGCCCTATGCTTGACTTGCTCCCGTAGGAGACTTTTGCCCTAGGGGAACTGTCAGACCTGATTTATACTGGGCAGTTTTGCCCATGAGATGGGGCTGGTTGGACCTGCGAACGCTTCGCTCTGCTGGCTTCTCCTGGAGTCCCAGCATAGCCATGCCTGGTTGCTGGACAGTCGTGCTTTCCCTTGGGTGGTGGGCAGGGTGGGGGCACTGCACCATAGTTTCTGCACTGGTAGACCATGCCCAACTGACAGAGCTCCAGCGGGGCAGCTCCGCATATTGCTTTGCTGGTGTTTGTCTGCATGGGCAGGTTTTGCTTTCCTTGCCCCATCTACCCCCTGCAGATGAAGCCTTGGCAGGCACAGAGCCAGCCATCTAGCCCCGTACCCACCAGCACCCCACCACTGTGCTAACAATGCACAGAGAACAGTAGATCCTCCCCAACTCGGAGAGATCACTCCTGTTTATGAGGCACAAAAAAGGTACCCAGACGTGCACCTGCCAGCACATTGCCCCCAAGCCAACACCACCTCCAGTGTGCCCACACACACAGTTTCCAGTAGGGGACCTCTATTTTGCCCCCGGCTGTGTTGCTTCCACCACTGGGGTGAACTCCCTCAGAAAGGCAGGCACCTCAGCACCCACTAGCACTCTTCTGCAGCTGCCACACCTCGTCCCCTCAGCACAGTGGATTCCTAATCTCAAGGAGCCAGAGAACAATGTCGGGGACTAATACAAGTGTCCCAGAGTTAGAGCACACAGTCCAGAAGTTGGGAGCTGAGCCTCGGCCCAATAAAATCTTCCCAAAACAAAGCCAGTCAGTTGAATCCATCTTATACCACAATCAAATTCTCAAGGTTATCAAATAGGATAACCTTTGAGGTCAGCAACCTCAAAGATTAAAGGTAAACTCACAAAGATGAGAATCCACACAAGAACCCTGAAAAGTCCAAAAGCAACCAAATGACTGCATCACTTCTCCAGCAAGAGGTCTGAACCAGCCTAATATGGCTGAAATGACACAAATAGAATTCAGAATGTGGATATGAATTAAGATCATTGAGCTACAGGAGTACATTGAAATCTAATACAAGGAAGATAAAGATTATGATAAAAAATGAAGAAACTGACAAAATGAAATAGCCAGTATAGAAAAGAATGTAACTAACCTGAGAGAGCTGAAAAACACACTACAATCACTCTTAATGCAACCAATTACGAGTATTAGTAACAGAATAGACAAAGCAGAGGAAATAATCTGAGCTTAAAGACTGGCTTTCTGAAATAACACAGACAATAACAGAGAAGGAATGAAATGGAATTAAGAAACCTCTAAGAAATATAAGATTATGTAAAGAGACCAACTCTATGACTGATTGGTGTCCCTGTAAGAGATAAGGAGAAGGGGAAAATAATCGGAAAACGTATTTCAGGATATCATTCCTGAGAACTTCCTCAACCTAGCTAGAGAGGCCAGCATTCAAATGGAGGAAATGCAGAGAATCCCAGTAAGATACTCTACAAGAAGATCATCCTCAAGACGCATAATCTTCAAATTATGTAAGGTATAAAAAAAATGTTAAAGGCTGCTAGAGAGAAAAGCCAGGTCACCTTCAATGGGAAGCCCATCAGACTTACAGTGGAACTCTCAGCTGAAACCCTAAAAAGCAGAGGAGATTGGGGGCCAATATTAAACATCCTTGAAGAAAAGAAATTCCAATCCAGAATTTTATATCTGGCCAAACTAAGCTTCATAAGTGAAGGAGAAATAAGATCCCTTTCATACAAGCAAATGCTGAGGGAATTCATTACCACTAGACCTGCCTTACAAGAGGTCATGAAGCAAGCACTAAATATGGAAAGGAAAGACCATTACCAGCCAGTACAAAAGCACACTGAAGTACACAGACCAGTGTCACTATAAAGCAACCACGTAAGTGTGCAAAATAACCAGCTAACATCATGATGCCAGGATCAAATATACACACATCAATACAAACCTTACATGTAAATAAATAGGCTAAATGTCCCAATTCAAAGACAGAGTGGTGAGCTGGATAAAGGATCAAGACCCATTGGTATGCTGTCTTCAACAGACCCATCTCACATACAATGACACACATAAGCTCAAAATAAAGAGGTGGAGAAAATGAATACATTCCTGGACAACTGCACCCTCCCAAGAATGAACCAGGAAGAAATTGAAACCCTGAAGAGACCAATAATGGGCTCTGAAATTGAGCCAGTAATAAATAGCCTAACCACAAAAAAGCCCAGGAGCTTATGGATTCACAGCTGAATTCTACCACATGCAGAAAGAAGTGCAGGTACCATTCCTGCTAAAACTATTTTAAAAAAATGAGGAGGAGACTCCTCCCTAATTCTTTCTATCAGGTAACCATCATCCTCATAGTGAAACCTGGCAGCGAGACAACAAAAAAAGACAAGGCCAGCATCCTTTATGAACACTGATGCAAAAATCCTCAATCCAATATTAGCAGAATAAATCTAACAGAACTTCAAATAACTTATGTATCACAATCAAATAGGCTTTATCTCTGGGATGCAAGGTTGGTTCAACATACACAAATCAATAAGTTTGATTCATCACATTAACAGAACTGAAGACAAAAACCACATGATTACTTTAACAGATGCAGAAAAGACTTGATAAAATTAAACGCTTCTTTATGTTTAAAACTATCAATAAACTAGGTATTGAAGAGACATACCTCAAAATCCCAGCCATTTATGACAAACACAGCCATCATCATACAGAATAGGCAAAAGCTGGGAGCATTCCCCTTGAAAGTTGGCACAACACAAGGATGCCCTCTCTCACTGATCCTATTTAATACAGTTTTGGAGGTCCTGGCCAGGGCAATCAGGAAAGTGAAAGAAATAAATGCCATCCAAATGGGAAGAGAGGAATCATACTATCTGTTTGGAAATGACATAGTCTTATATCTAGGAGACTCCATGGTTTGGCGCAAAAGCTCCCGAAGCTAATAAACAACTTTAGCAGAGTCTCAGGATACAAAGTCAATGTGCCAAAATGACTAACATTGCAATACATAAACAACAGTTAAGCCAAGAGCCAAATCAGAAATGCCATCCCATTCACAATTGCCACAAAAAAGAAGAAAATTCCTAGGAATACAGGTAACTATGGAGGTAAAAGAGCTCTACAATGAGAACTAAAGAACACTGCTCAAAGAAGTCGGAGATGACACAAACACATGAAAAAACATTCCATGCTTATGGCTAGGAAGAATCTGTATCATTAAAATGGCTATACTGCCCAAAGAAATGTACAGATTCAATGCTATTCCTGTTAACCTACCATTGAGATACTTCAGAACTAGAAAAAAACTAGAACATAACTAGAAAAAAAAAAAACTATTTTAAAATTCGCATGGAACCAAAAGAATCCCAAATAGCAAAGGCAAGCTTAAGCAAAAAGAACAAAGCTGGAGGCATTGTGCTACCTGACTTCAAACTACACTGCAGGGGCATAGTAACCAAAACAGTATGGTACTGATACAAAAACAGATATATAGACCAATGGAACAGCATAGAGATCTCAGAAGTAAGGCTGCACACATACAACTATCTGATCTTCGACGAATCTGACAAAAACAAACAATGGAGGAAGAATTCCCCATTTAATAAGTGGTGCTGAGGTAACTGGCCAGAAGATTGAAACTGGACCCCATCCTTACACCATATACAAAAATAAACTCAAGATGGATTAAAAACTTAAATGTAAAACCCAAAGTTATAAAAACCCTGGGAGATAACCATTCTGGACATATAAATTGGGCAAAGATTTCATGACAAAGACACCAAAAGCAATTGCAACAAAAGCAAAAATCTAATTAAAGAGCTTCTGCACAGCAAAAGAAACTATTAACAGAGTTAACAGACAACCTACAGAATGGGAGAAAACTGTTGCAAACTATGCATATGACAGAGATCTAATATCCAGCATTGGTGTGGAACTTAATCAAATTTACAAGAAAAATACAATCCCATTAAAAAGTGGGCAAAGAACATGGACATTTTTCAAAAGAAGGCATACATGCAGCCAACAAGCATATGGAAAAAAGCTCAACATGGTCAATTCTTAGAGAAATGCAAATGAAAACTACAAAGAAATATCATCTCATACCAGTCAGAACGGCTATTATTAAAAAGTCAAAAAACAACATGCTGGCATGGTTTCAGAGAAGAAGGAATGCTTATACACTGTTGGTGGGAATCTAAATTAGTTCAACCATTGTGGAAGAGAGTGTGGCTATTCCTCAAAGAATTAAAAGCAGAAATACCATTCGACCCACCCATCCCATGACTAGGTATATACCTCCCCCTAAAAAAAAAACATAAATTTTTCTATTATAAAGACACATGCATGCATATGTTCATTGCAACAATATTCACAACAGGACAGACATGGAATCAACCTAAATGCCCATTAATGGTAGAATTGATAAAATGTGGTACATATACACCATGTAATATTATGCAACTATGAAATAGAATGCAATCATGTCTTTTGCAGGGACATGGATGGAACTGGAGGCCATTATCCTGAGTAAACTAACACAGAAACAGAAAATCAAATACTATATGTTCCCACTTATCAGTAGAAGCTAAATGATGGGAACCCTTGGACACATAGAGGGAACAACACACACTGGCATTGACCAGGAAGTGGAGGGTGGGTGGAGGGAAATAATCAAAAAAATAACTAATGGATACTAGGCTTAATATCTGAGTGACAAAACAGTCTGTACAATTAACCCCCATGATGCAAGTTTACCCATATAACAAACTTTTCTATGTACCCCTAAACTTAAAATTTCAATACCAGCACTTACACAAACACATGTAAAAGAGGAAAAGCAATGAAGCACTCCTACAGGATCTAGAAAATAGCATTACTAAAAGATCAAGAAAATAGCCTCAAAAACGCACATCTGAGAGTTACTGGCCTTAAGGGGGAGGTAAAGAAAGAGGAAGGGTAGAAAATTTATTCTAAGGATAAAAACAGATAACTTTCAAAACGTAGAGAAAGAGATCAATAAGTACAAGAAGGTTATAAACCACCAAGCAGATTTAACCCAAAGACGACTACCTCTAAGCATTCAGTTATCACACTCCAAAAGGTCAAAAATGAAGAAAGAATACTAAAACCTGCAAAAGAAAAGAAACAAATAATATACAGTGGAGCAGCAGACTTTTCAGCAGAAACTTTACAAGGCAAGGAAAGAGTGTCAACATATTTAAAGTGTTGAAGGAATAAAAAAACAATATTTTACCCTAGAATAGTATATCTGGCAAAAATATGGTTCAAACATGAAATAAAGACTTTGCCAGACAAACAAAAGCTGAGGGTTTATCTATACTTGACCTGTTCCACAATAAATGCTAAATGGAGTATTTCAATCAGAAAAGGAAACTCATGAGCAATAATCATCTGAAAGTACAAAACTTACAGATAATAGTAAGTACACAGAAAGTCACAGAAAATTATAACACTGTAACTGTGGTGTGTAAACTAGTCTTCTCCTAAGTAGAAGGACTAAACAGATCAAAAATAATGACTAGGACTACTTTTCAAGACATAATACAATAAAATAGAAAAAACACAAGGCAAGTTTTTATTAGTTTTCTTATTTCTTGTTTGTTTATGCAAATAGTATTATTAGAAGGTTAAAATAAGTTATAAGATAGTATTTACAAGCCTCATGATGTCTCAAACCACAAAACATGCAATACATGATATACAAAAATCACTGGCATTGCTATACATTAAAAACAAATAATCAAAGATTAAAATTTTAAAAAATCCATTTAAAATAGCATCAAAAAGATTAAAATTATTTAAAAAATAAAGTTGTGCCACACTGTACAATAAAAGCTACAAAATACTATTGACATTTTTAAAAACCTACATAAAAAGACCTCCCATGCTCATGGATTGAAAGATTTAATATTGTTAACATGTCAGTCTCCCCAAATCAATCTATAGATTCAATAGTTTTATCAAAACCACTGCTGTCTTTATTTAGTTGATGAAATCGATCCCAAAATTCATTTAAAAATTTGAGAGAACCAGAATAACCAAAACAATCTGGAAAAGAACCAAGTTAGAGAACCAAAACTTGTTCATTTCAGAACTTAATACAAAGCCACAGTAATCAAAATTGTGTGGTACTGGCATAAAGATAGATACATAGATCAATGAAACATAATTGGGAGTCCAGAAATAAAGCCTTACGTATATGGTCAGTCGACTATCCAAAATTCTTTTCAACCAATAGTGCTGCAACAATTTAAGACACACAAGCAAAAGAATGACGTTGAACTTCTAATTATACCGTATACAAACATTATCTGACAATAATTCAAATACTTAAAAAAGCTAAAACTTGTAAAAATCTTAGGAGAAAAATAGGCATAAATATTTGTGGCCTAAGATTAGGCAATAATTTCTTAGATGTAACACCAAAAACATAAGCTACATAGGATACATAAATTGGGCTTCATCAAAATTAGACACTTTATGCTTCAAAAGACACTATTAGCAAAGTGAACAGGAAATCCACAGAATGGAAGAAACTATTTTTAAATCATATATCTGATAAAGGACTAGATTCAACAATATATAAAAAACCCTTGCAACTCAACAATAAAGAAACAACCCAGTTTTTCAAATGGACAAACTATTTGAATGCATACTTTTCCAAAGAAAATGGCCAATAAGCACATGAAAAAATGCTCAGTACCATTAATCATTAGTGAAATACAAAACCTCAATGAGCTATCACTGCACATATACTAGGATGGTTATAATTTTAAAAAAAGGTGGGTAACAAAAGTTGGTGAGCACGTGGGAAAATTGAAACTCTCATACACTGCTAGTGGGAATTCTTATAAAATGGCACAGCTACTCTGATAAATGGTGTGGCACTTCCTCACGATGTTAAACATAGTTAGTTACTATATGACAGTGATTCTAGTTCTAGAAATATCCCCAAGATAATTAAAAACACATTTCCAAAAAAAAAATTCATTCATGTATGTTATGTTTATAGCAGCATTATTCATAATAGTCAGAAAGTAGAACTAACCCAAGTATCCACAAACTGAAGAATAGAAGAGTAAAATGTTGTATATTCATACAAGGGAAAATCATTCTGCAATAAAAAAAATGAAGTACTGATTTATGCTATGACACGGATGGACATTGAAAACATATCAAGAGTATGAAAAGGTAGTCACAAAAGATCACATATTATACGATTCTATGTATATCAAATATCCAGGGTAGCCAAATCTATGGACAGAAAGTATTATAGAATAGTGGTGGCCTAGGGCTGGGGCTATAGGTTTGGGGTTAATACTGGCAGTCATTGCTAAAGAGAATGGGATTTCTTTTGGAAGAAATGTTTTAAAATTTATTGTGTTGATGTTTTCATAATTCTGTGAATAGACTAAAAACCATTGAATTGTACATTTTAAATGGATGGATTCATGGTATGTAAATTATGTCATATTATGGGTGTTAATTACATCTCAATAAATTTGTTATAAAATAAAAGCCCTTCAGAAACGGTGGAAAAATTAAGAGATCCATTTTTTCTTTATGATATATATATATGTGTGTGTGTGTGTGTGTGTGCGTATTTACTGTAAAAAAGATAGAATGAATAATTAAAAACACCTCAAGTGTGAAAAGAATTTTAGGTTGGGAATGTTAGAAAAACAAACATATTTACTAATATAGAGAGCAAGAGAAATATGTCCATTTTGGGTTGTAAAAGTCAATCTACTTTTTGTTATATATATGTAAGGTGAGAGGAAATCTTGTCTTAAACATTGTGACAATGCAGTGGAACATTCTGCCTTTTTAAAATAAGTTCAAAACCAGTAATCAGAAAGTTTGTTCTGTATTCCAGATGTTTCTTGTTAAAATAAATAGTATATAAAGGAAATATTTCGTATAAAAAAGTTAAAATACAATAATAAAAATAATATTCTTAAAAAATACTTTAAATTTAAATTGACAAATTTAGTCATTGCAGAGAAGAATAGTGAGCTGTACAGCAATATTATTATGGAATAGCATTGGGAACTGTGAGTCTTTGTGTTCCTACTGGGCAGACTTTGGAATATTCTAAGATGGTCATGATGGTTGATACTAAGACTATGTGAGCTAAGGGAGCAGACCCTAACTGAACCAACACATGTTAAGCAGTAAAAAAAACTCTCAGAAAATATAATCACAGGTGACTCCTTACCTGAAAAAAGAATGGAAACCCATAAAGCTAAGTCCCTGACCCAGTGATGTGCTAGAGACTGTGGATGCCAGCTTATAATAGCTCTTAAATATTCAGAAATTCTCAAGCTATTTGTTATAAATAGCCATTATTTAAAATTAAGTCATATCAAAAACAAGGGTAATATATACTTAAAACACATCACTTCATATTTATTTTACTGTTAACTTTGCTCTTGAGGTTATTTATGTCTATTTCATTTCTGATAAAAATACTGCATAAATCTGTTACTGTGCATCCTTTCCTAACTCTGTTCAGTGCTTTGTTAAAATTAAATGTAGTTGAAATATTTACACCATAGAATGTGCTATCTTTTACTAGGGCTCTATTTATTGCTTTGTTGACTTTGTAAGTTTAAGAAAATATTAATAATTCAAATTAAACCTATCTGTTGCAACATCATTGGGAATAGCACAAAAATGAGGACTGTTTGTTTGTAAACTACCAGTAGTTCTCATTGAATTTATAGACCACTATGAGGTTTTTTAAATTAACTTTTATTTTAAATTCAGGGGTACATGTGCAGGTTTTGTTATATAGGGAAACTTGTATGATGGGGCTTTATTGTACAGACTTTATCACCCAGGTATTAAGCCTAGCACCCATTAGTAATTTTTCCTGATCCTCTCCCTCATCCCCCCTTCCAGCCTCCAATAGGCCCCAGTATGTGTTGTTCTTCTCTACATGTCAATGTGTTCTCATTTAGCTCCCACATATAAATGAGAACATGCAGTATTTGGTTTTCTGTTCCTGTGTTAATTTGCTAAGGATAATGGCCTCCACCTCCATCCATGTCCCTGCAAAAGACATGATTGCATTCTGTTTTATGGCTGCATAATATTCCATGGTGTACATGTACCACATTTCTGGATCCAGTCTACTATTGAGGGGCATTTAGGTTGATTCCATGTCCTTGTTATTGTGAATAGTACTTCAATGAACATATGTGTGATATATCTTTATAATAGAATGATGTATATTACTTTGGGTATATACCCAGTAATGGGAATCCTGTATAGAATGTTATTTCTGTTTTTCGGTCTTTGAGAAATTGGTCTTCCACCATGATTGAACTAATTTACACTCCTACCAACAGTGTATAAGCATTCCTTTTTCTCTACAATCTTGCCAGCATCTGTTATTTTGACTTTTTAATAATCGCCATTCTGACTGGTGTGAGATGGTATCTGACTGGAATTTTGATTTGCATTTCTCTAATGGTCAGTGATCATGAGCCTATTTTCTTTCTTTCTTTGAGACAGTCTCACTCTGTCACCCAGGCTGGTGTGCAGTCGCACGATCTCGGCTCACTGCAACCTCCAGCTCCCACGTTCAAGCAATTCTCCTGCCTCAGCCTCCCATGTAGCTGGGACTACAGGCTCACACTAGCAAGCCCAGATAATTTTTTGTATTTTTAGTAGAGACAGGGTTTCACCATGTTAGCCAGGCTGGTCTTGCACTCCTGACCTCAGATGATCCACCTGCCTCGGCCTCCCAAATTGCTGGGATTATAGGCATGAGCCACTGTGCCCAGCCAGATGAACTCATTCTCAATATGCTTGTTGGCTGCATGTATGTCTTCTTTTGTAAAGTATCTGTTCATATCCTTTGCCCAATTCTAATGGGGTTGTTTTTTCTTGTAAATTTAAGTTCCTCATAGATGCTGGATATCAGACTTTTGTCAGATGCATAGTCTGCAAAAAATTTCTCCCATTCCGTAGGTAGTCTCTTCACTCTGATGATAGTTTCTTTGGCTGTGCAGAAGCTCTTTGATTTAATTAGATCCCATTTGTCAATTTTTGCTTTTGTTGCAATTGCTTCTGGTGTCTTTGTCATGAAATTTTTGCCAGTTCCTATGTCCAGAATGGCAGTGCCTAGTTTGTCTTCCAGGTTATTTATAAATTTGGGTTTTACATTTAAGTCTTTAATCCATCATGAGTTAATTGTTTTATATGGTATAAAGATATAATCCAGTTTTAATCTTCTGTATATGGCTAGCCAGTTGTCCCAGCACCATTTATTGATTATGGAATCCTTTTCCCATTGCTTGTTTTTTGTCAGGTTTGTCAAAGATTAGATAGCTGTAGGTGTGCCACTTTATTTCTGTGTCCTCTATTCTATTCCACTGGTCTCTGCCTCTGTTTTTGTACCAGTACCATGCTGTTTTGGTTACTGTAGCCCTGTAGTATAGTTTGAAGGTGGATAGTGTGATGCCTCCAGCTTTGTTCTTTTTTTGCTTATTACCAGTGATCTCACAGAAAAACAACCATCAGATAATATTATAAAGACCTCTATGCATATAAAGTAGAAAATCTAGAAGAAATGAATAATTTCTGAACACATGCACCCTCCCAAGAGTGAAACAGGAAGAAACTGAATCCTTCAACAGACAATGACTTCTGACATTGAGTCAGTAATTAAAAGCCTAACAACGCCCCCCACCACCGCAAAAAAAAAAAAAAAAAAAAAAAAAAAAAAAAAAAAAAAAAAAAACCACCCAGGCAGGACCAGACAGATTCACAGCTGAATTCTACTCGACATACAAAAAGCTGGTACCATTCCTGCTGAAACTATTCTAAAAATACTGAGGTGGAGGGACTCCTCCCTAACTCATTCTATGATGCCAGCATCATCCTGATGCCAAAACCTGTCAGAGATACAACAGCAGCAAAAACTTAAGGCCAATATCTTTGATGACCCATCAATGCAGAAATCCTCAAAACATATTGGCACACCAAATCCAGCAGCACATCAAAAAGCTTGTCCACCATAATCAAGTAGGCTTTACCCCTGGGATGCAAGGTTTCTTCAACATATTCAAATCAATAAATGTGATTAATCACACTAACAGAATTATAGTAAAAAATTATCATCTCAATAGATGCAGAAAAGGCCTTCATAAAATTCAACACTCCCTTATGTTAAAAACTCTCAATAAAGTAGGTATTGAAGGAGCATGTCTCAAAATAAAACTAGCCATCTGTAACAAATCCACAGCCAAAATCATACAGAATGGGCGAAAGCTGAAACTTTCTCTTTGAAAATCGGCATGAGACAGGGATGCCCTCTCTCACCACTCCTATTAGGTATAGTATTGGATGTCCTGGCCAGGGCAAATCAAGCAAGAGAAAAAAGAAAGTACATCCAAATAGGAAGAGAGGAAATCAAACTATCTCTGTTTGGAGACGACATGATCCTATATCTAGAAAACCCCATAGTCTTGGTCCAAAAGCTCCTGAAGCTGATAAACAAATTCAGCAAAGTCTAAGGATACACAACCAATGTGCCAAAATTAGTACCATTCCTATACACAAACAACAGTCAAGCCGAGAGCCAAATCAGAAATGCTATCCCATTCACAATTGCCACAAAAAGAATAAAAAACCTACGAATACAGGTAACTATGGAGGTGATAGATCTCTACAATGAGAACTAAAAAACACTGCTCAAATCAGAGATGACACAAACAAATGGAAAAACATCTCATGCTCATGGATAGGAAGAATCTATATCGTAAAAATGGCTATACTGTCCAAAGCAATTAATAGATTTAATGCTATTCCTATAAAATTACCACTGAGATTCTTCATAGGAGTAGTAAACACTATTTTAAAATTCATATGGAAACAAATAAGAGCCCACATAGCCAAGGCAACACCGTAAGTATTACAGATAAGGAAACTGACACCTGTGGCAATTAAGTAACATGTTTATTGTCACATGGGCTATGAGTAAATGTAGCCAGGATTTGAATTCCAATCCTTATTCTTCTTAAGCCACATTGAACTTCTTCGTAGCCTTTTCATAATTTTTGTTTGTTTTTTGGAGACAGAGTTTTCACTCTTGTTGCCCAGGCTGGAGTGCAGTGATGTGATCTCGGGTCACTGCAACCTCCACCTCCCGGGTTCAAGCGATTCTCCTGAGTACGGCGCGCACCACTACACCTGGCTAATTTTTGTATTTTTAGTAGCAACCGGGTTTCACCATGTTGGCCAGGCTGGTCTCAAACTCCTGACCTCAGATGATCTGCCCACCTCGCCCTCCCAATGTGCTGGGATTACAGGTGTGAGTCATCACGCCCTTCCCTTCAGAATGTTTTATAGCACCGCCAAGGAAGCATGGATTGTGATTGAAAGGAAGAATAGAGCATAACATGCATGAACCAAAAAGGATCACTTCAGTGACTGATAAACACCTGATTTTAAAAAGCCAGACTAATGAAAATCTGATTCAGAATACACGTCACTTAAGTCATTGACGAATGGATGAAATTCCAAAATATACATTTGTTCTTTCACAGTTATCTTACTAATTAATGTAAACAAAAATACTGATCAACATTCCTGTTGTAAGTGCACCTGATCAGCATTTGCAGCCATGGGTTGTCAATGGATGATATATGATTTTGGCAAAAATCAATAAAAGCATTCTGTGATAATTAATAGGCTTTATTCAATGTCCAATAAAAGATCTTATGCACTTTATTATATAAAAGTTTTATATTATACATTTATAGTTGCCTAATTTATAATAAACTTATGCATACGTATATGTACAAATACTGTCTTTTGGAGATCTATTTGACAAACTTTTATGAACACACCACTGCCCTCAGCCCACTAAACACTTTTATAAATACAGCAAAGTTGTTTCCTTCAATTGTCCACTTCTTTCTCTTCCCCAGTCCCTTCCTCCTAAATATCCCTATATCTATAGCCCTAATTGATAGCTGCTGCTGCTTCTCACTACTTGGCTCTTACTTTCTTGTTGATACTGGACAGCCCTGCATAGTCTTTCTACAAATTCCAGACCTACTGCCACAGCCTAGTAACTGTTACCTTTGTTTCTCCTCATTGCCCAAATGTTCCATTCCGCACAGGAGCTAGACTGTGCCTTTATAATTAAATTCTCCTTACTTCCTGTTGAAAGTTTTCCATTGTCTTCTTATCACACTTAGAATAATATCCAGAATCTTCCCATGGCTTAAGGACCCAGTATAATCTGGCTTCTCTCTCTCCAACCATACTTTTTTCCCTTCTCTCCTTTATTATTTTCAGGATTGGTTCTGCATAGGGCCCTGTGCTCAGAAGGGTCCCATGTTTGGTTTAACCTTCTGCTGTTAGTTACTTTTATTAACATGGGGTCTCTCTATGCTGCCCAGGCTGGATTCAAACCCCTGGCCTCAAGCAATTCTCCCTCCTCAGCCTCCCCAGTATCTGGGACTACTGGTGTGTACTACCACACCCAGGCACTGTTGCTACCCTGAAATCCTGTGTGATTTTTAAACAAGTTTTCACTTGATATTAGTACCTACTAATTATGTAACCAGCCATCCTCAATAATGAGGATGGCTTTGGCTTATCAACCTTAACTTCTTTTTCTCAAATTTGACAGTGTTTTTCATCTCAGGACTACTGCCAATGATATTATCTTTTTCTGGAAAGATTTTTTCCCTCGGCCATTCTCCAAACTGGTTTCATTGTTATTATTCAAGTTCAGCTCTATTTTAACGGAATAAGAATAAAGTTTTTATCTATGACATTTAACACTGTATTCCCAGCAGCTAGAATAGTATCTAGCATATAGCATTAAACAAATATCCGCCAAATAAATGAATAAATCCATTTCTTTCTACTATCTGCCATGACACAACTCTAGTTGCCTCATCTGAAAACCCTCCTGTAAGTAACCTCATTGGTCCCCTCTTCTATCAGTCACTGAACTGATCCCTCATCATTTGTTAAAGTTTAAGTTTCTTATCTGCAATGCTTATACATTTTTCTTCCAATAATCTCTGCTTTTTAGGTTATGTTACATAAGACATTATAAGATGGCTGAAGTTTCCCACAGTCTAAGAGATTGAAAAATGGTGTTCCAATCCTAGTTATACTACAATAGTTTTTAATAATGGGAAGTGTGTTAGTCCATTTTTATACTGCTGCTGAAGATGACCTGGGACTGGGCAAATTACAAAAGAAAGAGGTTTAATTGCACTTACAGTTTCACATGGCTGGAGAAGCCTCATGATTATGGAGGAAAACAAGGAGGAGCAAGTCACATCTTACATGGATGGCAGCAGGCAAAGAGAGAGAACTTGTACAAGGAAACTCCACCTTATAAAGCCATCAGACCTCATGAGACTTATTCACTATCACGAGAACAGCACAGGAAAGACCTGTCCTCATGATTCAGTTACCTCCCACTGGGTCCCTCCCACAACATGTGAGAATTCAAGATGAGATTTGGGTCGGGACACAGCCAAATCATATTAAGAAGTTTATTTAACTGTTCCAGGTTTCAATTTCCTTCTCTATAAGATTAAATGAGGAAATGCATGAAAACAATTTAAGAAAGAATAAGTGTATACAAACACCTCAAAATAATTTGGCATTGACTCTTATTAAACATCTCTTCAGTTATTGTAATCACAGCTTCTGATGTTAGGTGGGCATCTTTACTGACACAAAATTGACACCTAATGTGACATTATACAAAATTGACACCTAATGTGACATTATACTAAATTGTGTGTTTGGTTAATCACAAAGGATGAAATTATATGGGTGTACGTATGTGTATAAATATATTCCCATAGAACACTTAAAAACAAGATATAAATAGTTCAGTATTAACAAAGCTGTGGGTGTGTTAACAACCTTGTTAATATTGAACTATTTATATCTTGTTTTCAAGTGTTCTATGGACATATATATACAAATAATGTTTAAATTCTAAGAAGTTGAAATATAATTTTGCACCAATATTTCCTGTAATTATACTTGCTGGCTTTCTACTTTTTTCATGAAATTCTATGTCACCCTGAAGTTTCAATATTTCTTATAACCACAATTATATTTGTATACCACACAAATATTTCTCTAAGCAAAAATAATATTCTGTAAGGACATTTCTGGATCTTTTCTTCTTTTGAGACAGATACACTTTTTCATCACTGAGGAGAAATCAAAACCAAAAAAACAAAAACATCAACTTGGTTTTTTAGCAATGCCTACTGACAAAGATGCCATAACATTTTAAAAAGGAAGCGAAGAGCAGAGTTGAAATGCTAAGAGCGTAGTTTATTGTAAATGCCCAAATCAGAGCAAACAACCAGTGAAAGGTCAACATAACAGCCCATTGATCTGTACAAGCAATTTGCTAAACCTAGTAATAAATTCCCCAAGATCCACAGTAGAAATTCCTTCAAATATTTGTGATATCTTTTTGTATGAGGCAGCTGGCCAAAAAGTATAGCATAATTTGCTCTTTATCCGTGTTGATCACTATGCCAGTACACTATGGGACCCTTATAGAATTTAAACATTATTATTCCTACAAATTTAGTTTTACTGAACCCACATTTTGAGCATCTATATGCCAATCAATAAACAACCTTGCTCCTTTGGAAACAGTCATTAATAATATCGTTAATATATTGTCCCTGTGATTAAGGAGTTCAGTCTATTTGGGGAGAAATTATAAGACAACTTAACAATTGCTGTAAGTATGCAAAGACTGCTACCAGAAAATTTAGGTAATTTCTAAGTTTTTCTCTTTATGGTTATGTGGTTATGGGCCTAATAAAAAATAATGTGGAAGGAAATACATTTAAGGGAAGAAAATACATTTGAGGGGGCCTTGAAATGTAAATAGGAGAAAAAAGCAGAAACAGACTTGACCCAAAAGAAGGTAGGACACACTGAGTAAAGAAAAAATAAACAAAGGCACGCTATTAAGAAAATGGAAGTCTTGCTTAGGGAATAGCCAGGTTGTGGTAAAGAAATACTTTAGAAATTCCCGGGTCGATGCTATAACCCTTAAAATATAGCATTCAATAAAATTAGTAGAAGATAATGAATAAAGATGTGAAAATAACAACAAAACACAAAAGTTCTTAAGACTTCACTATCCAAGCATGAATAATTTCAGTTCTCCTATTGAGCTGATGTTTATTCTCATTCCCAGTTCATCCAATCATTGCTCAAAGCTTACTATCCAAGGTAAAAAAAAAAAATCTCTTATTTTAAATATGCATGGTGTATCTTTTTGGTTATTGTGAGGGAAGCCATACAAAATATAGGATGTCCAGTGAAATTTGACTTCCGATGAATAACAATTTTTTTTGTTGTGTCTATGTCTCTAGTTTTGTCTGATCTTTTTCTGTTATCCTGTGCATAATGTTACTTTAAAAAAATTACTTGTCTGCTTTTAGTAATTTCTATTATCACAGTTTTCTAAAATTTGATTAAGATATCCTTTGGAGTGATTTTTTTTGTTTGTTTATTATCATTTACTTTGGATTGCTACAGTGCCTAATCTGTGTATCCTATACAGTATAACTTTATTTCAAAAACTGTTATTTTTACCTTTAGAAAGCTGGGCATGTTCTATAGATTGTGGGTATCCAGAAAGTACCAGGAAGAAATTAGTATGTATTTTTATCACTCCACCAACTGCTTTCTGTATATTATGAAAATTTATAATTACAAAATCTCAGTGGTCCTTAAACCCCAAAGCACTTTCCACACTAATTGTGGTTGGTGCTTCTCATAATAAAATATAAAAAACCATGAAGATTTGAAAAGTTGAAGACTCACTTCAAAAATAGTTACTTGAATGCTTGGGCATATACATTTAAATGTACAAAGATGCCTCTATGCATGTGGGTGCACACACACCTATAAGGTAAATATTATGTTTAAAGTTCAGTATGACTTGCTGTAATATAATTTTTTAAAATGTCTTAATATAGTATTGAGGCTCTGCCTCAAGGCTGATCAGTTTTTCTTCTTAAACAGCCAGTTAAGTCCATATTCCTGCCCATTTCCCTTTGGGGCTCTCACACTCCAGGCTACTATACACTTGTTCTATACCCCCCAGGGCCAGGTACCATACAACTAAGTATATTCTCCATTCCCCAGAGCTTGCTGAAATTATTTAAATTAGCCAGTTCTAACCCTGCTTGCCCTGCCTCCCTTTTTCCTTCCTGGGAAGCACACAATAAATGAGCTTGCCCACAGTTGCCCTCCCTCGCCTTGCCTAGACACTGGTTGCTGTGCTTCCCTTGAGTGGCCCTGTGTGGTATGCTACATTCTTTCCAGGGCATTGTGTGCATTAAAAACTGTACATCTCTTTCTAATTTATCTTTCTTGATCTACATCCGGCTTCACCATACCTCACCTAAGGTAACCTGGTTAAAACACATGCCAAGTGTTCTCTGTCCTAGGCCAGGACCTATTATAACCAGGCAAATGATCAAACTTGCAAGGCTTGATCTAATTTTAATAAAACACTACCAAAAACCTCATTTAGTGTACTTATGCTATTTTTTACTTACTGCATTTTCACCCTACATATTAATTATGAGGGTACTTGGAATGAAGGTAACTATGGTCCTACAATTTCTTTATTGGAAGGAGAAGTAATTATCTTTTAAAATAGTCTGTGAAGAACACATTTTAGTATGGATCCATTATGAATGCAGTCTAGTTTTGTATGTAGAAAGGGATTGAATCTAGTTTTCTGAGTGGAAAGGGATTTAAATCAGAAAGTTAGAGGCTTATAAAACTTTCGGAAGGACAGACGGGTTGAAGATAAAAGAGTAAGAAAGGTAAAGCAAGTAACATCTAGCATTCAGGAATTTAGAAATGGTAGAAACTACTTCTGATGAACTCAACTGTCTGTAGCACCAAAAAGGGATGATTTGCCAGAGGATACTCAAAGCTACTGGCAAAAAAAAAATTCTTTCATGATGTCTGCTGAAGCCTTCACATGCTTGCCAATGCCACATCAGGCTTGTTTTGTATCTTTCAAATCTTGTAAGGAATGGCTTTACTTGGCAATTTTCAATTTGAAATTCTGCTAGCAGGGTTTGTAAAGTGTTAGTTTACACACTGGTTAGTTTCCTAGCATCCCAGCCCTGTGATAGGAGGACACTGGCAAAGACAATCTGGCCTGCTACCTCATTCACTATCAAGCATCCATCCCCAGTTTCTTGTCAATATTCAATTTAAAAGAACAATGTCAACTGGAGTGGTGTTCTTTATAAGCAGGTGAAATTATGCCTTATGCAAACTAAGATATATTCTCTGAAAAAGGAGAGACCGTAACATAATCACTGTTTTCACCCGAGTATGCTGTTTATTTTACCCCCTTTTCAGTCAGAAACCTCCTTTGATTTACTAGAAGGTATTATTTGTAAGTACCACTAACACACCTTATAGAAAATAGCAGGGGGAAGAAAAAAATTGATATTATAGAAATGTATGCCTAAAAACTTAGAAGAAAATATGCTCAGTTACTATAGACCTTGTTTGAAGTTGTTAATGCAGCCATGATTGTTTGTGACTAAAATTGCTTTTCTCGGCCAGGAACAGTGACTCATACCTGTAATCCCAGCACTTTGGGAGGCTGAGGTGGGTGGATCACTTGAGGTCAGGAGTTTGAGACCAGCCTGGCCAACATGGTAAAACCCCTTCTCCACTAAAAATGCAAAAATTAGCTGGGCGTGGTGGTGCATGCCTGTAATCCCAGCTACTCGGGAAGCTGAGGCAGGAGAACTGTTTGAACCTGGGAGGCAGAGGTTGCAGTGAGCAGAGATTCTGCCACTGCACTCCAGCCTGGGCGATTGAGTAAGACTCCATCTCAAAAAAAAAAATTTGCTTTTGTCTACAGTCCTCAGCTAATTTGTTATTTTAAAAAATGACCACAAACCTAATGTTTCAAGGGTCTGATTTATTAAGGCCTGGATTCCTAATAGTCTTTCATTAATTACTACCTCCATTACTTCCATTACTACTGACTATGAGAAAAGGAAAAGGTGCTCTCCCTGGATTCCAGACATTTTCCTCATCCTCATTATGAAGGACTGCCCCTACTTTAATACTCCAAAGCAAAGCAGTAGTCCCCAACCTTTTGGGTACCAGGAATCGGTTTCATGGAAGACAATTTTTCCACAGAGAGCGTTGCGGGGGGATGGGTGGGGATGTTTTCAGGATGAAACTAATCCACTTCAGATCATCAGTCATTAGAATTAGATTCTCATAAAAGTGTGCAACCTAGATCTCTTGCATGCACAGTTCACACCAGGGTTCCCGCTCCTATGAGAATCTAATGCCACTGCTGATGTGACAGGAGGTGGAGCTCAGGTAGTAATGCTCACTAGTGGCTGCTCACTTCCTGCTGTATGACCTGGTTCCTAACAGGACATAGACTGATACCGGTCCATGGCCAGGGGGTTGGGGATCCCTGCCCCAAAGGACACAGTGTCTTGCCAATTGTTTCAGTGTCCCAGAGAGACCAAATCAACTAGTTATCGGTCTCAAATTCCAATTCAGTAGAAATAGAATGATTCTATTTTGCAGAATGATGAAAGCAATTCTCTGCTGGCAACAGGAATGCACAAGTCAACAGTCAAGGATGGGAGGAAAAATGTTTGCAATTGTGTTATTGGGCAGTAATGTAAGCGATTAGTCAAACTTCACTAATTCCTGGACCTGTACAATATATTGATTACTGTTCAAAATGCTGCACATCTTGAAGCATAGCATTGCAAACTTTCACGTTGTCTCCCTCCTGGTCTGTCAGCAAGACTTCAGTATTCCACCATTCTCACCATTTCTCAGTGATCTGAAATGTAGTAATATCTGTGAACTTTATTGGTGTATGCATATTGTCGCAATATTTGGTGGTAAAATACATTCTTAATCACAATCAAAGATATAATTTAAACCATGATAGTGAGTAAGGCACTTTGTAAGATTACATTTTGGTGTTTAGCAAAACTGTATCTGACAGTCAAGAAAACCAAATTCATATCCAGGATAATTGCCAGTTCTAGTGACAAAACTGTTGTCATTATCATCATCACAGAAAGGGAAAAATGTAATTGACTTGCCACTAGGAGACTTAAAAAAAAAATCCTACTGAATGTTGCCATATTGGATTAAGTATTGGTCTCTGATGCTGCCATGTTGGAACTCAGCAGTAGCAATAACCAGATCTGCCTAATGAAAGGAATTCCATGTTGACAAGTCAATGCTCATTATTTCTGCAACTGTGATCACTTTTTTCTTAAGTCTATTGAATAAGATCTGTTTAACTAGAAAAAGAATGGAAAGATATCCATATGCCAGGATATCTTGTTCATCTTATTAATGAGGATCTTCTATATTTGTGCCCTTTCCCAGTGGTCAAACCATACTCCTTATTCCTGAATGGGACTATAATGTTATACCAGTACCCTTCCATTTGCTGCCAGTGTGTGTGAACTGAGCTTTTGTTATTCAAACAGCTAGTCATAGAAATAGTTTCATGAAACTATATGAGTGGATTGACAGAAAAATGAGTGAATGTAGCAGGAACAGACACGATTTAGTCTAAAACACCTGCTCATATAAATTACTCTCACTTCTGGGACATTTTGAATCTCTCATATATACAACTTCCAATTATGGATGGAGTACTGCAAAACAACTTTATGGTTTGGTGGGTTAGATAATACTATTTCATTTTGGTAACTCAAGTTACATGGTCACTTGCATTTTATGGTCAACTTTCATTCCCTGTTATGTCCTAGTAGCAAAGCAGGACGTGTTTCACAAATAGAAAACTGAAGAAGTCATCAGTGTCTGAACTTGAGCTATTTAGTTTCCAATTTTGTCAACATAGAGAATGAAGCCATTCAGGGATGAACTTAACCTTATCCAGGCTCATAATGTATAAAAGTGGTATATAAATCCAGAATGCTGATACATTATCTATGTGATTTCAGCAAATGACCATGGTTAATATGTTACTTCTTATAGTCTAATCCTTTGAAAATTTAGTCTATATAAACTTGCATCGCAACTCCATTTTAACTAGAATGTTTACTCAGAATATTCTGTTCTTTAAGCTATTTTAGATAACACATTTTAAAACTGTATATAGATAATATAGTTCTACCAAGTGACATTCTTTCATTAATTGCTTAAGTTCTTTAGAAATGTAACTTATGAGATTTTTAAAAAGATCTTAAACATGAATAAAAAGGTAGAACAACAACTTGGAGCCTTTTCTCTTACAAGGTCAAGGCTCCAGAAACAACCTTTCTAATCCTAGAATAGTCTTTGGTCTGCACATGTTTACAAATGCAAATAAAAGCAGAGAGCACAGTTAATTCTGTACTCCTTACATAGCATAAGCTTATATTTGTATAGGCCATTTCTTATGTAGTAAACTTATTTCCTTCTGCAGATTCTACTTTCATGTTTTTTCAGTCCAATCCTAGTGTGAAGATGGTTGAATAAAACTATCATTTATCTATACACACAAAAATACTTATTTTTAGAAGAAGGCATGGCTTTGCTTCACACTGGGCAAAGAGCAAGCGTTGTGAATCTGACAGGGACTTGCCTAAATGTCCCTAGAGCATCTGATATGCCCCAAATATTTAGGACACTATTTAATCAGCTGGGTCATAAATACCAAGTGGCAAAACAGCTTGCTCCTACAAACTAGAACAGCTGTAGATCTTTATCTGGCTTGTGGCATCATTTAAAACTCGCAACCCTACTATTTAATCAATCAAAGCAGCACATACATAGGAATTATATGTTCCCTCTATAATCTAGAATCTTACTAAAAATGTGCCCATGTCTTAGTAGTAGGTAGTGTAATATTTTAAGTACCTCTTATTTTATTTTATTGTGGTTTTATATGTATACACACTAAAAATTACCATTTTAACCATTTTTAGTGTACAAGTCTATAGCATCAGTTATACTCACAATATTTTGCAACCATCACAACTATCTCTTATTAAATATTTTTCAACACCCCAAACAAACTCTGTACTAACTAATTAAACAATAACTCCCCACTCTTCTTCCCCTAGCTGCTGATAAACTCTAATCTACTCTTTGTGTGAATTGGTCTATTCTAGATATTTCACAAAAGTATTATCATACAATATTTATTCTTTTGTGTCTGCCTTATTTTATGCAGCATGTTTTCAAGATGGATCCATGTTATAGTGTGCATCAGAATTTCATTTATTTTTATGATTGAATATTATTCCATTGTGTGTATATAACTCATTTTGTTTATCCATTCATCTGTTGATGGACACAAGTTGCTTCCACCTTTGGGCCGTTATGAGTAATGCTGCAGTGAACACCAGCACACAGGTAAATGTTTGAATCTCTGCTTTCTATTATTTTGATTATATACATAGGCTAGGAGTTGAATTGCTGGGTCATATTTATAGCATATTATCTTTCCTAGGGAATGTTCCATGTGCACTGAGGAGAAAGCATATTCTGCTGTTGTTGACTAGAGTGTTTTATGTCTGTTAGGCTTACTTGATTTATAGTATTGTTTAAGTCCTCTATCTCCTTACTAATTTTCTGTCCAGATGATCTGTCCATTATGGAAAGTATTGAAGTCTCTGTTATCATAGAGCTGACTTTTCTCTCTTCAATTCTGTCAGTGTTTGCATCATGCATTTTGTGGCTATGTTTGGTGTATGTATGACCATAATTGTTACAGCTTCTTGATTTGATCCCTTTATCAATATGAAATGTCCTTTGTCTCTTATGACACTTCTTGACTTAAAATCTCTGTTTGTGGTACCAGTATAGCCACTCTACCTCTCTTGGTTACTATTTGCATGGGTTATCTTTTTCTGTACTTTTGCTTTTAACCAATATTTGTCTTTTGATCTAAGGTGAGTCTCCTACGGTATACAACTGGATGATGTTCTCTGTTCTAAGCTTTGCCTTTTGATTGAAGAGTTTAATCCACTGTCATTTCAAGTGATTACTAATGAAGAAAGAATTACTTCTGCCATTTTGCTATTTGTTTTATCTATATTTTATATCTTTTTGGCCATTTTCCCCATTACTGCTTTCCTTTGTATTTAGTGTATTGTTTTGTAATGACCCATTTTGGTTCCCTTCTCATTTTCTTATATGTACATTTTTATTACAATGTAGGTTGGTATCAAATTTGATTCCATAGCCTATAAAACTTGATCCAGTAAAGCCACATCTTCCCTTTTATATTGTTTTTGTCACAAATTACCTCTTTTTATATTGTTTGCTCAATAAACTTAGAATTATAATTTTATGCATTTTTGTTTAAATCTGTGTAGGAAATTAAAAAGTAGAGCTACAAATAAAAAATAGAAAACACTGGATTTTATATTTTCCCATGTAGTTATCTTTACTGAAGATATTATTTCTTTATACAGCTTTGGGTTGCTATCTAGTGTCCTTTCATTTTCAACAATGTAATATGTTGTTGATAATGTATATATCCATATGTATCCATGTCCTAGAGTGATAATCACAGGGTATCAGCTCAGTGAGTTTTTTAATATAATCAGTTGAGCTAAAAAAAAAAAAAAGAGAGAGAGAAAAGAACTTTACTAACTTTACTTATCCATCATGTTTATAAGCCCCCATGCTGACTGATCACAATTTTGATCTATGAGAATTTGCAATGCATTTCTTTCTCTTGATGTACAATAATCCAACTAGTAGCTACAGATCATTGTTTAAAAACCTAGGAGGGGCTGGGCGCGGTGGCTCAAGCCTGTAATCCCAGCACTTTGGGAGGCCAAGGCGGGCGGATCACGAGATCAGGAGATTGAGATCATCCTGGCTCACACGGTGAAACCCCGTCTCTACTAAAAATACAAAAAAAAAAATTAGCCGGGGGTGGTGGCGGGCGCCTGTAGTCCCAGCTACTTAGGAGGCTGAGGCAGGAGAAGGGCGTGAACCTGGGAGGCGGAGCTTGCAGTGAGCCGAGATTGCGCCACCGCACTCCAGCCTGGGCAAAAGAGCGAGACTCCGTCTAAAAAAAAAAAGCAAAACACCTAGGAGAATATTTATGGTAAGTATTTATTAAAGTCTTTTAAAGATCTCCCTTTAGGGATACAAGTATCCTTTTTATTAAGGAGCTTTAAATCTACTCACTGTTTTAGTTCTAGAAATTGGATTGATACTATGCTCTATTTTGGGGTGGATGAATTATCTTTTCTAAGAGGTAGAGAAATTATTTTTTTAAGCTCAATCACAGATCAAGTAAGTATTTAGATGACTATTTATTTCAGCAATAGGAACACTATGGCTTATTTAGCCTCACCAAACACTACGCACAGGTCACATAAATTTGGTTATACCTCCAGATCTACTATCCAATGTAATTACCATCTGTACCATGTCTCTGATGTTTAACAGCTATGATTTAACTGTTGCCACTCTGGATCACCATTTTTATAAATTAAATTCAGGATTTTGCCAAAGTTTCTACTCTGATTGCTGAACTGCAGCAGACAGCCACTACAAAGCATTTTAATGATGCTAGAGATCTCAATAGTAAGTATTACAATATCTGGATGAAGAAAATGTCCTCTACATATTTCTCCCAGCAATGATGTATGACAAAATGCACAGAGTATTGTCAATTAAAAATACTCACCTGAGCATTGGTTGCCAGTAGTGTGGACATTGTTGATCGCCACAAAGCTGACTTCTCTTCATCCCTTCCAGATGTTAAACTGATAAAAAAAAATTAAAAACTTTAATTTAATTTGGTACATAGTAGTTGTATACATTTATAGGGTACACAAGATGTTTTGACACAGGCATGCAATGCATAATATTCAGCTCATAGAGAATGGGGTATTCATCCCCTTAAGTATTCATTCTCTGTGTTACAAACAATTCTATTATATTCTTAGTTATTTTACAATGTACAATTAAATTATTATTGACTATAGCCACCCTGTTGTGCTATCAAATACTAGCTCTTATTCATTCTATTTTTTTTTGTACCCATTGACCATCCATCCACACGCCCACCTCAATGCTCCCACTATACTTCCCAGACCTGGTAACCATTGTTCAACTCTCTTATCTCTACGAGTTCAATTGTTTTGATTTTTAGATCCCCAACATAAGTGAGAAGATGAGATGTTTGTCTTTCTATGCCTGGTTTATTTCACTTAAAAAAATGACCTCCACCTCTATTCATGTTGTTGCAAATGAAAGGATCTCGTTCTTTTTTATGGCTGAATAGTAATCCATTGTGCATAAGTAACAAGTTTTCCTTATCCATTCATCTATGATGGACATTTAGGTTGCTTCCAAATCTTGGCTATTGTGAACAAAGCTGCAACAAACATGAGAATGCAGCCATCTCCTTGACATACTGATTTTCTTTTCTTTGGGTACATATCCAGCAGTGGGATTGCTGGATTATATGATAGCTCTACTTTTAGTATTTTGAGGAACCTCCACACTGTTCTCCATAGTGGTTGTACCAATTTACATTCTCATCAACAGAGTAAGGTGGTTTCCTTTTCTCCACAGCCTTGCCAGCATTTGTTATTGCCTGTCTTTTGGATATAAGCCATTTTAAATGGAGTGAGATATTTCATTATAGCTTTGATTTGCATTTCAGTGATGTTGAGCATCTATTCATATATCTGTTTGCCATTTGTATGTTTTCTTTTGAGAAATGTCTATTCAAATATTTAGCCCATTTTTTGATCAGATTACTAGATTTTTTTCCTATAGAGTTCTTTGAGATCCTTATATATTTTGGTTATTATATATTCCTTGTCAGATGGGTAGTTTCCAAATATTTTCTTCCATTTTGTGGGTTGTCTCTTGGCTTTCTTCATAGTTTGCTTCACTGTGCAAAAGCTTTTTAATTTGATGGGATCATATTTGTCCATTTTGGTTAGGTTGCCTGAGCTTGTGAGGCATTACTCAAGAAATTATTGCCCAGACCATTATCTTGGAGATCTTCCCCAATGTTTCCTTGTAGTAGTTTCACAGTTTGAGGTCTCAGATTTAAGACTTTTAATCTATTTTATTTTGATTTTTGTATATGGTGAGATGTAGGGGCCTACTTTCTTTCTTTTTACATATGAATATACAGTTTTCCCAGCACCATTTATTGAAGAGACTGACTTTTCCCCACTGTATGTTCTTGGTACCTTTGTCAAAAATGAGTTCACTGTAGGTGTATGGATTTATTTCTGGATTTTCTATTCTGTTCCATTGGTCTATGTGTCTTTTTTTAATGCCAGTACCATGCCATTTGGATTACTATAGCTCTGTAGCATAATTTGAAGTGAGGTAATGTGATTCCTCCAGTTTTGTTCTTTTTGCTTAGGATAGCTTTGGCTATTCTGGGTCTTTTTTGGCTCCATATAAATTATAGTGTTTTTTTTTTCTATTTCTGTGAAGATTGTTGTTGGTATTTTGTCAGGGATTGCACTGAATCTCTAGATGGCCTCAGGTAGTATGAATATTTGAAGAATATAGATTCTTCTAATGCATGAACATGTATATTTGACCTTTTTTGGTATCCTCTTCAACTTCTTTTGTCAAGGTTTTATAGTTTCCATCATAGAGATTTTTCTCTTCTTTGGTTAATTCCTAGGTAGTTATTTTATGTGTCATTATTGTATGTGGCATAACTTTTTAAAAATTTTTTACACTGTTTGCTGTTGGCATATAGAAATGCTACTGATTTTTTAATGTTGATTTTGTATCTTGCAACTTTACTAAATTCTACCAGTTTTCCTGGGAAATCTATAGGTTTTTCCAAATATAAGATCATATCATCTGCAAACGAGGATAATTTGATTTCTTCTTTTCCAATGTGGATGCCTTTTATATATTTTTCTCTTGTCTGAATGCTCTAGCTATGACTTCTAGTACTATGCTGAATAACAGTAGTGACAGTGAGCATCCTTATCTTGTTCCAGATCTTAGAGGAAAGGCTTTCATTTTCTTCCCATTCATTATGATACTAGTTATGTGTCTGTAATATATAGTTTTGATTATGTTGAAGTATGTTTGTTCCATATCCAGCTTTTTTAGGGTTTTTGATCATGAAGAGAAGTTGGATTTCATCAAATGCTTTTCCAGCATCAATTGAAACAATAAGGTTTTTGTCCTATATTATTTTAATATGATGTATTACATTGATTAATTTGCATATGTTAAAGCAACTTTCCATTCCAGAAATAAACCCCACTTGGTCATGATGAATGTTATTTGTTTTTTATTTTATTTTTTTCTTTTTCAGACAGAGTGTCACTCTGTCACCCAGGCTGGAGTGCAGTGGCGTGATCTTGGCTCGCTGCAACTTCCAGCTCCTGAGTTCAAGTGATTCTCCTGCCTCAGCCTCCTGAGTAGCTGGGGTTACAGGCCTGTGCCACCACGCCCAGCTAATTTTTGTATTTTTACTAGAGATGGGGTTTCACCATGTTGGTCAGGCTGGTATCAAACTCCTGACTTTGTGATCCGCCCACCTTGGCTTCCCAAAGTGCTGGGATTACAGGCGTGAGCCACAGTGGCTGGCCGATAGATGTTATTTTTAATGTATTGTGAAATTCAGTTTGCTAGTATTTTGTTGAGGATTTTTTTTGTCAATATTCATCATAGATATTGGCATGTAGTTTCCTTTTTTGATTTGCGTTTAGTTTTGGTATCAGGGTAACACTGGCCTTTAGGAATGAGTTTGGAGGTATTTCCTCCTTCTCTATTTTTTAGAATACTTTGACTAGGTTTGGTATTAGTTCTTCTTTAAATATTTGGTAGAATTCATCAGTGAAGCCATAGGGTTCCAGGCTTTTCTTTACTGGGAGACTTTTAAGGCTTCAGTCCCATTACTTGTTATTAGTTTCTTCAGGTTTTGGATTTCTTCCTGGTTCAATCTTAATAGGTTGTATGTGTCTAGGAATTTGTCCATTTCGTCCAGGATTCCGGTTTATTGTAATATAGTTGCTCATATTAGCCACTAATGACCCTTTGAAATTCTGACGTATCAGTTGTAATGTCTCCTTTTTCACCTCTGATTTTATTTATTTGGATCCTCTCTCCCTCTCTTTTTAGTCTAACTAATTAAAGGCTTGTTAGTTTTGTTTCACTTTTCAAAAAAACAACTTTTTGTTATGTTGATCTTTTGTATCTTCTTCATTTTATTTCTGCGCTGATCATTATTATTTCTTTTCTTCTACTAATACTGGGTTTATGTTGTTCTTGATTTTCTGGTTATTTAAGATGTACCATTAAGTTGTTTATTTGAAGTTTTTTTTTGATGTAGGCACTTATGGCAATAAAATTCCCTCTTAGTACCGCTTTTGCTGGATTCTATAGGTTTTGGTATGTTGTGTTTTCACTATCATTTATTTGAAAAATGTTTTGATTTTCTTAATTCTTTACTCAGGAGCATATAGTTTAATGTGCATGTATTTGTATAGTTCCCCAAATTCCTCATTATTGATTTCTAGTTTTATTCCACTGTAGCAGGAGATGCTTGATATTATTTCAATTTATTTTGAATATTTTAAGACTTGTTTTGTGACCTAACATGTGGTCTATCCTTGAGAATGATCTACGTGCTGAGGAAAAGAATGTGTATTCTCAGCTTTTGGATGAAATGTTTTGTAAATATTAGATCCATTTGATGTATAGTGCAGATTAAGCTTGATGTTTTATTGTGGATTTTCTGGATTGTCACCCCAGTGGTGATAGTGGGGTGAAGTCTCCATCTATTATTGTATTGAGGCCTATCTCTCTCTTTAGCTCTAATAATATTTGCTTTATACATCTGGATGCTCCAGTGATGGGTGCATATATATGTAAAATTGTTATATTCTCCTATGAAATTGACCCCTTTATCATTATATAGTGACCTTCTTTGTTTTTTCTTATAGTTTTTGACTTGAAACCTATTTTTTCTAATACAAGTATGGTGACTCCTGCTCCTTTTTGGTTTCCATTGGCATACAATATGTTTTTCCATCCCTCTATTTTCAGTCTACATGTATCTTCATAGCTGAAGTGTGTTTCTTGTAGGACACAGATAAATTAGTTTTCTTTCCATTCATTCAGCCACTCTATGTTTTTTGATTGGAAAGTTTAGTCGATTTACATTCAATGTTATTATTGATAAATAAAGATTTACTCCTCCCATTTTGTTATTTGTTTTCTGGTTGATTTGTATTCTTCTCTTCTTTCCTTTTTCCTTCCTGTTTTCCTTTAGTAAGGTGATTTTCTCAGGTGATATGATTTAGTTTCTTGCTTTTTATTTTTTGTGAATCTGTTGTATGGTTTTTTTGGTTTGAGGTTAGCAGGAGGCTTGCAAATACTGTCTTATAAACCATTATTTTAAACTGATAACAAGTTAACGTTGTTCAAATAAACAAAAAGAAAACTAATCTTCATTAGTTCTCTATGCCTTAACTTCATCCTCCTGCTTTGTAACATTTTGTTGTTTTTGTTTCTATTTTATTGTACTATGTCTTGAAAAGTTGTAGTTATTTTTGACTGGTTCTCCATCTAGTTTTTCTACCTAGGTAGGATAAGAGTAGTTTACACACCACGGTTAGAGTGTAATAATATTCAGTGTTTTTCTGTTTCTTTACTATTACTAGTGAATTTGGTATCTTTAGGTGATTACTTATGGCTCACTAAACTCCTTTTCTTTCTGATTGAAATACTGCCTTTATCACTTCTTGCAGGAGAGGAATGGTGTTAAATTCATCGAATAGAATTCTGCATTTCTTCTGTGTTATCTTGAATTCCTTTGATTTTCCTCAAAATACCTATTTTGAATTCTCCGTCAGAAAGGTCACATGTTGCTGTTTCTCCAAGATTGGTCCCTGGTGCCTTATTTAGTTCATTTGGTAAGAACATATTTTCCTGGATTGTCTTGATACTTGTAAGTTTGTCTAGGTTTGGCCACTGAAAACTTGGGCATTTATTATAATCTTTGCAGTCTGGCCTTGTTTGTACTCATCCTTCTTGGGAAAGATTTCCTGACATTTAAAAGGACTTGGGTGTTGTGATGTAAGTTGTTATCTCCATTCAGAAGCACCCCAATCCCAGTAACACTGAGGTTCTTGCACATTCGTAGAGGTACCACCTTTATAGTCTTGGACAAGATCCAGAATTCTCTGCATTAACAGACAGAGGCTCTTGTTCTCTTCTCTTACTTTCTCCCAAACAAACAGAATTTCTCTTTCTGAGTCACCTGAAGCTGGGGGTAGAGTAAAACAAACACCCCTGTGACCACCACCACTATGACCGTGCTGTGGCCAACCTGAAGCCAGCACAGTACTGGGTCTCACCCAGAGCCTGCATTACCACTCCTAGCTGCTGTCTATGTTCACTGAAGGCCCAGGGGCTCTATAATCATCAGCTGGCCATGCCAGCCAGGCCTGTGTCTTTCCCTGCATGTGGCAATTTCCCCAGGACTTGGGTGGGTCTACAGGTGCCATCTGGAAGCCAGAACCTAGAGTTAAAAACGTTAGAATTCTACCTGGTGTTCTATTGTCCTGTGGCTGAGCTGGCATTCAAACCACAATACTCAATCCTTGTGACTCTTCCCTCCTCCTTTTCAAAGGCAGCCTTACCTCAAGGCTGCCACCACCACAGGCCCACTGGGAATACTGCCAAACTATTGCCAATGTTCTATTAAGAACTAAGGTCTTTTAAGTCAGCTTGTGGCGAATGCTGCTTGGCCTGTGACTCACCCATCAGGGAAACGGGCTCCTCTCAGGCACAGAGCAGGTCCAGAAATGCCTCCAAGAGCTAAGTGCTGTAATCGGGGGCTCCAAGAGTTTGCTTGGTGTTCTACCCCCAGTGGCCAAGCTGGTACCTACAGTGCAAGACAAAGTCCCCTTTACTTTTCTCTCTGCTTTTCTCAAGAAGCAGCGGTCTTGACACTACAGCTGGAGATGTGCTGAGTCTCACCTGAAGCCTACAAGTCTCAGGGTTTCACCCACTGCCCTTGACATAGTACCTGACGATGGCTGCTGGTTATTCATGGCTCAAAGTTTCTTCAATTAGCAGCTGATGAATGCTGCCAGGAAGGGGTCCTTCCCTTCAGGATAGTGAGTTCCCTCTGGGCGCAGGATGCATCTAAATATGTCATCCAGGAGCTAAGGCCTGGAAAGGAGGCCTTATGACGCTGACCCATACCCTATGCCACTGTGGCTCAGCTCGTATCCAAGATGCAGGACAAATTCTCCCCACTCTTTCCTCTTTTCTCTTCAAGCAGAAGGAAGGAGTCTCTTTTGGAGCTGTGAGCTGTGCAGCCTGTGATTAGGAGAGGGGTAATGCCAGCACTCTCTTAGTTGTGTGGGCTGGTGTCTCAGTAGGTCATGTTCCCCGCTAGTCCCCTGTCTCTGGGTCAAGTTCAGCACTAGGACTCTTCTAGGAGTTGCAGTCCTTGTGGCCTAGATTGCTTTTCAAGTTTATTTAGAGCCCCAGGAGCTCTTTGGACCATGATGGCGAGGCTTGCAGGAACTCACGTTCCAACCCCTGGGATTGGCGATTCTCCTTTTGGTTCAAATGCTCCTTCCGTAGGTGGGTGTCAGCCAGGATTGATCCGGTTTTCCTTTTCTGCTATAACAGGACAGCAGTGAGTTCAATGCCTCACAATTACTCTGCTCTCCTTTCCCCCGTGCACAGAAATGCTGTCAGTACCAGAATACCTCTGCTTGGGGATAGGGGAGGCATGGCACCAGCAATTCAACACTGTTTTTTCTGCCTCTTTCTGCAATACAAAGTTAAAACCAGGTACTACAAGTGCTCACCTGATTTTTGTTTCTCACAAAGGTGCTTTTTTGTGCCATTGGTGTCCTTGTCAGGGGGACAAGCAGTAGAGTCTTCTTCTATTCTTCCATCTTGCTCCATCTCCCCTCTTGCACTCTCAAGCTGATACACTCTTATCTGGAAGGACAAGGCAAAATCTCTAGGCAAGGCGAATACTTCACTAGAACAAACAAGTCACAGTGCTAATCAAGGACAATAATACAATCCAGAATGTGTGTAATATTTATAGTTTCTAATATTTAATCAAATTATCAAATCATGTAAGAAACAACATTGCATTTAGCAGAAAAAGCTTTAAAGCAACTATTATTTATATATTTAAAAAATTAATAAATATCAAATTAAATGTAATATAATTTTATCATATAGGTCAGGGATTTCAGCATAACAATGAAACAAATGAAATTCAAAATGGAATTGCAGAACAGAAAATTAAAATAACAATTTAAGGGGTTTAACAGCAGATGGGAAATGGTAAAAGTCAGGAAATTTGAAGACAGTTTAAAACAAAATATCCAATCTGAAAAAAATAAAAAAAAATAGGAAAAATAAATAGAGCCTCAGAGATCTTTGGGACATTTTAAAAAGTGTCTGATATACTTAATTATGCTATGAAGTGAAACTAACCCAGCGGTCATGGTGAATGAAAGAAAGTTGGTCCTGCCCACTTTGTTCTTGGAGCAGGATGCTCCAGACAAATATCCCTTTTGCACCTCTGAGCTAAGATGGTTTCTGTAACTAAAGTGGAGCTCAGACTCTCTGGCTAGAAAATTCCTTCCACCATCTGCTTCAAAGGGACATCCAATAGAGACTTATGGTTTGAGATTTGGAAACTACCCAATTGGGACTTAGCTGTTTTAAGCTAAATGGATTGAATGAGTTTGAATTATTTATTTGCATATACAGACGTCCCTGAGGACTGATGTGGGAACTTTCCCTATTTAAGCCAGACCCCCTATTTGTTCTCCAGAACACACTTTTGTTTACACCAGGGGTTGTATCCGCCTAATCCACAAATTGATTTTTGTTGTTGTTTTCAGAAAATAAAGCTCTATTTTTTTTCCTTCTGGAAGACCTAATGATCTTTATTTAACAATAAGAATCCCAGAATGAGACAAAAAAAGAAAGGAGGAGGAGGAGGAGGAGGCAGAGGAAGAGAAGGAAGGAAAATGGAGGAAGGAAAATGGAGGTAGGGACGGAGGGAGAATGGGCCAAAGACTTTTAACTTTTGATTAAAATTTCAAATTACAGGTGAAAGAATTGCAGTCAACCCTTATCTGAATAAATACAATGAGAGTTAAACCTAGGCATGTCATAATACAATTTCTAAATAGTAAAGTTAAAGAAAAATTTCAGAAAGACCCGGAGTTAAAAGACATATTATGAACAGGAGACATAGGGGATATGAATTATACTGATTTATCATCAAAAACAATGACAGCACAAAATAAATGATATCTTTATAGTGTTAAAAAAAATCCTGATTTCTATTTCCAGTGAATGTATCCTTCAAAAATCAGGCTAAAGGATATATATTTTCAGAAGTATAAATCTGAGAGCTTTTGTTGTCAGAAGGTGTATGCTACAGAACATAATAAAAGGTATTTTATACCAAATGGAAACTCCAATATACTGGCAGGAATGAAAACAACAGAATGAATAAATGTTGGCAAATATAAAAATTCTTAGTGGTTAGTAATTTCAAATTTAAAGCACTTCAACCCCACATGAAAACTTCTGACCTATAATAATTTTAAAGCATATGTATACATTTGTATGTTACTTTTAACGTATTATATCATTTTAAATACTACATCTGCAAAGATGATAAAGTTGGAATCAGAAAGAATATATCATGTTCAGTTTGGTGATCAAACACTAAAGATTGAACTTTATATGGTGCTATACCAAAAACAGATTTAAGCATGGTTTTTATAACATGATATATTGTACTCATAAAAATGTTTTTTTTGTTTTGTTTTGTTTTGAGACAGGGTCTGGCTCTGTTGCCCAGGCTGGAGTGCAGTGGTGTAATCTCACCTCACTGCAACCTCTGCCTCCTGGGCTCAAGTGATCCTCCCACCTCAGCTTCCCGAGTAGCTGGGACCATAGGGCATGTCACCATGCCCAGCTAATTTTGGCATTTTTTTGTAGAGACAGGATTATGCCATGATGCCCAGGCCGGTCTCAAACTCTTAAGCTCAAGTGATCCATCCACCTCGGTCTCCCAAAGTGCTGGGATTACAGTTGTGAGCCACCATGCCTGGCCTGGTTAGTTTTTATAATTTTCATGCTTTACTTTCAGTTAATAAGAGAAAAAGTTTCCATTTGCTATTTGTATTTCTTACAAACTGTGGATGAAAATATAATTACTATATTTTCTACTTAATATTGGATTTTAAAGTGCTAGAGACATCTTCATGTTCTACATAAAATTTTTGATTATGTAAATGTAATTATCAGAGCTGGCAAAACTGATCTTGGTGAATTATCTTCATGTTCATATGCCTTATTCATGCGTTTTCTTTTATTATCAGTGGTCATCATGTTTCCTGTGAGAATATATGGTGAAAATATAACTCAAATTAAAATTACATATTGGTCCAAAAACTCACTACAGCACTGTTTTGGGGAGGACAATTCTTAGAGACTATTTGACGTGCAGCAACAAGAGAAGAGAGGATATGCACAAAGACTGCTTTATACACCAGTGCGGGGGCAGTGTACAGGTGATCCAGGCAATAGTCCCCTGTAAACGATATTAGTTCAAACACCTGTCCTTATTTAATTGACCCGTAATGAAATATGTTACTTTCATTTTTATCTCAGACATAAAGAGATAATATATCCAAAAATTCTCAAGGAAAAGGAAGAGATCAAATGTTAAGATGAGAACTTCATGTTTTAGAGGTAAGTTAGAAGTTTGGAATGGATGTCTGTGCCTTCAGACAGAGTTCCTGGAAATTGGAAAGACTGGGAAGACACACAGAAAAAAATCTGCTCCAGCAAACATGTCTTTGCTATTCAGTATGATCACCATCACCTGTTTTCATTATTATTTAAACAGAATGGAAATCATCAGATAATTACTGAAGTAAAGATGGGTGTATTTTAAACTGTTCATTGTCGTTATTGTCAATATCAACACCATAATCATTACTTTCATCAATCTTTACTTTAAAAATATGTACAATTGATAGCCTTTTTTTTTTTTTTCCGTTTTTGAGACACGGTCTTGCTCTGTGCCCAGGCTGGAGCGCAGTAGCATGCTCACTGCAGCCTCAACCTTTGGGACTCAAGCAATCCTCACACCTCAGCCTCTGGAGTAGCAGGGACCATAGATGCACACAACCATGTCTATTTTTTGTAGAGATGGGGTTTTGCCATGTTGCCCAGGCTGGTCTCAAACTCCTAGGCTCAGTGATGTACCCACCCCAACCTCTCAAAGCATTGAGATTACAGGCATGAGCCACCGCACCAGTCCTTACAGCATTTTAAAATATAGTAAAATACTTCATATGTTGATATTTGATTTAATAAAGCAATAGTTAATAATTTATCTTGTAGGTGAATATAGTTAATTGATATTATGAAACTGTGTTCTATAATGATTGCCAAATAATGTGGGTCTACCATGGCTAATGAATATGGAAAAATATTTATTAATTATAATGATACAAAACTTCAAAAATACATTTTTTAAAACAGGGAGTTTTCTATATTTTCAATGTCTCATCTATTTTTATCTTTCTACTAATTTTAATCTTCATTTTTTTTTGTTTTTATTTATTTATTTATTTTGAGATAGAATCTTGCTCTGTTGCCCAGGCTGCAGTGCAGTGGTGGAATTTTGACTAACTGCAACCTCTGCCTCCCGGGTACAAACAATTCTCCTGCCTCAGCCTCCTGAGTAGCTGAGACTACAAGCACATGTTACCACACCTGGCTAATTTTTGTATTTTTAGTAGAGATGGGGTTTCGCTGTGTTTCCCAGGCTGGTCTTGAACTCCTGGCCTCAAGTGATCCTCCCACCTTGGCCTCACAAAATGCTGGGATTACAGGCATGAACCACCATGCCTGGCCTTCATCTTCATCTTAATTTACCCAGACATCACCATTTGCATTTGGGCATTTTTGTCAGAACCTTTCTGTGATCCACATGCTATTCATAGATGAAACCTCTCATCCATCAGGCTGAAAAATGTCTTTATCCTAAAAACAGACAGGAACGTGATACTTTGCCTCTCCAGCTGGATTGTTAATATTTGGACTCAAACCTAACTCTATTTTTGTTGTTTTCTTTTAGTTCCAGGGGTACATATGCAAGTTTGTTATATAGGTAATTTGCATGTCGAGGGGATTTTGCGTATGGATTATTTTATCACCCAGGTAATAAGCATAGTACCTGATTGGTAGCTTTTCAATCCTCACCCTCTTCCCACCCTGCTCCAGGCCCAGTATCTATTGTTCCCTTCTGTGTGTCTATATGTACTCAATTGTTAACCCACACTTACATGTGAGAACATGAGGTATTTGGTGTTGTGTTCTTGCATTAATTTGCTTAGGGTAATAACCTCCAGCTCCATGTTGCTGCCAAGGACATGATCTCATGCTTTTTTATGGATGTATAATATTCCATGGTGTATATGCAGCACATTTTCTTTATTCATTCTACCATTGATGGGCATTTAGGTTGATTCCATGTCTTTGTTATTGTGAATAGTGCTGTGATGAACATACAAGTCCACGTATCATTATGGTAGAATGATTTATATTCCTTTGGGTATATATCCAATAATGATATTGCTGGGTGGAATGGTAGTTCTAAGTTATTTGAGAAATCTCCAAACTACTTTTCGCAGTGATTAACTAATTTACATTCCCACCAGAAGTGTACAAGCATTTTCCTTTCTCTGCAACCTCACCAGCATCTGTTATTTTTTGACTTTAAAATAAAATAGCTATTCTGACTTATGTGAGTTGGTATTTCACTGTTTTCAATTTGTGTTTCTCTAATGATTACTGATGTTGAACATTTCTTTTTCATATACTTGTTGGCTGCATGTATATCTTCTTTAGCGAAGTGTTTGTTCATGTCCTTGTCCACTTTTTAGTGGGATTGATTTTTGCTTGTTAAGTTCCTTATAGACTGTGGATATTAGACCTTTGTCAAATGCATAGTTTGCAATTTTTTTTCCATTCTGTGGGTTGTCTCCCAAAACCAACTCTTAATAATACTCATGCTAATCTTTCATTTTCATTTGTTTGTTTTTGTAAGCAGGGGCTCTCATGAAGCCTGTTACTAAACATGAGGTGGTTTATTTTTTCAATTTAATTTTTTTTGAAATTTCCATCTGTTATACTTTCATGTTCTTTTTCTCACTTTTTTCTTGTGCACCTATGTCTAATTTTCCATTCATTGGATGTATATTAATTTCTTTTTGAAATAGTTGTGCTTGTACTTTTATTACTCTGTTTTGTTCTCTCTCATTTTTTTCTCACTGTTCCCCCCACTCAGTGGAGTTGCAGAGCAACTGATGACATTTTTAATAATCAGAGCTGCTTTTTCCTCTTGTTTGTCAAAGAATAGGTATTTGCTAAGGACATCTAAAATGTCCTTAGGGAATAATAATTGTCCCTAGTATTTATTGACAGCTTATTATATACCTGATTTATGCCAATAATTTTATAGCAATTTCTTACTAAATCCTTGCAAAATATGATGAAGCATTACCATAGATCTTTAAAGATGAGAAAACAGTCTCAGAGTATATTGTAGAGACAATACTATTTTTTATCTGTTTTTTTTTTATTTCTAATACAGGAAAAAAAAACAAACTGTATTACCCGAAATGTCTTTGTAGGCATATGACTGGGTTCTGTCAACAAGGCTCCCCCAGGAATGACAGATGCCATTTTTAAGTCAGACCCTTAGTTCTTGAGGATGGTGATATTTTGTATTTTTCCTCTTCTCCTTCCACAGTGATCTCAAAAGTCACATTATTGTCCTGGCAATGCTATTATGTGAAAAAATCCTGGATTCTTATGCTATCATTTAAAAAATTGCTGCCTGATCAACATGAAAGAGAAATAAAAGTTAATAATGTTCAGCTGTGGAACTTTTGAGAATATATATAATACCTATTATGACTGTGAGTGAGGGGTCCAGCTCCAGGCAAAATCTTATGTAAAATATTTGATTGACTATAGGCAGTTGCAAAGGCTTTGCCTTCCAAGCCTCATGAGGGAAAGCTACCCTTCCCACAGCACACGTGGTGGTGCCTTACAGTTTTCTCAAAAGAGTTATACTCAGGACTCAGTCCCTCTTAGCCATCCATAGTCATAGGCATGTTTGCATTACCAGCTCAGGCACTTCAATTTAGAGATTCCTTATCGGGGAAGGGATGCTTCAGCTCAGGCACTTTTCAGGTGCCCCTGTGAAGACCGCCTTATCTAAACACTTTTCTCCATTCTTACTCAGTACTTCTCTTTACTCAGACTCTCCACCTTTCCCTACCCTCAAACCAAGGAAGCAGTGTCTCTTTCAGAGAAATGGAACACGAGGGAAGTGACATCATATTTTGTCCCTCCCTTACATGGCCACGGTAAGAACAGGCTTGATGATTATGTTCAGTTTGATTCATTATACTGTTTGACTACCTGGACACCTGGCAGCTTGACAGAGAGATGTTAAAAAAAACAACAAACACTCAGTTCTTAAGGGCCACAATTTTGATACTAACCCTCCAGTCCTGATTCAAAAGCAGTTTTCTTAGCAACTTACTACTCTTTACTCTCTACAAGATGAAGGGTTAAATTAGTGTAAGTCTAAGCTTTACGCAGATATCTGGTCCCTGTTATAGTTATCAGAGTAGGTATCTATAGATGTAGGCGCTGAGAACTCCTAGCAAAGTGAATGTATGTAGCCATTAAAAATGTTCTTGTCACTTTCCTAATAAAGTTCGTTTCTAACAGTCATTGAATACATGGATCAGGGTGACAGGAGAGTGAACAACCATTCATTTTAAAACAAGACTGCTGAATGATGTTTCTTTTCCTCAAAATGGAGATATTTTGTCTCTCATTAGAAGATGTAAATGTATGAGTCTCTGGACCTATAAATATTTTTAAGTATTTTCTCAAAAGAGAAAAATTTGGATGTTCATGAAAATGTTTTCATCCTTTCAAATACAAAGCCATTAGATATGTATTACTTTCTGTTTTAATTATTATTGTGTTGTCCTCTGCGGGTGGTGTCATCCACTGTTACATCTGTTGTGTGGTAGAATAAAATTTTTAATAACGTGCCCTTACATTTCTTCTAAGATTAAAAAAACACAAAAAACAAACAAACCTAATTGTGGAAAATGAGCAAAAATAATTTGCTTTCAACCCACACAAGTTATTGTCTTATGAAGACTAGTAAATTAGCCTTCTGCTTAAAATGACAGAACTAGTTAGACTAGAGCTTGAGTGTTCACAAATAAAACTTTTAATCTGTAAACCGCATCTAACTGATATAGCATGACCCCTGTCTGAAAAATATCCTCCCTCTTATGACCTTCCTTCTGCAATGTGAGCAGCACAATTGCAACTATAATCATAAGACAAGCCAGAGAGAAAAATAAAATAGTGTACCAAACTAAAATCATCTTCATAAGTAGTCTTCTGTGGCTTATTAGAACTATATTTTTCATAAAACATCTTTAGCTTTTTCCAAATTATGTAGCATTTACTAGTTTCAGGTATTATAACCTGATACATGTGTGGGGTATTGTTCAGCCCAACACACAATTCTTTATTCTTCTGCCTCAACCAGTACTGTGTACTGTAGGTGTATACTGTCCTGGCGAGTGTTCAACCTTGAATATGAAGCTTTTTGTAATGAAGGCTATCTCTAAAAGGGACTGACATTTTAACATTGCCTATGGACAATACTCCTAGCATCTGGGGAAAAAAAATCATTTTTTGAAACAGGCTGAAGACAATGGCATCTCTTCGTGCAGTTCAATCACTTTATAGAAAAGAAAGTGCATCATTGGTCAAACTATGATATAATCCACTACTCCTATCCTATATGACACCCTTAGAGTCTTCTGGTCTCCTAATAATGAAATGGAATTTTGAATATGCAGCTATAGCAGCAGCTCTACAATGAAAGTATCATTCTCAAGGATTTATTATACCCTGAAGTCAATAACCATTATGTAATTTTTTGCCATAAATAACATACATGGGATCAGAAGTAGAATTGTGAAATATGAGTGTCCCATTTATCATCCTTCAATTGAAGCACATGGGGAATTTGTACCCCTCTTCCTGAAACTATAGCCTCTGCATATATAGATAACCTGCTCTTCAGAAGGGAACCATTCCACTAGCAACACAGTCTCATTTAAATTTTAGGTAGGTGTAACATTCCAGCCCCTTTGTTTCAACTTGCAAGAACACTAAAGAGTCATCTTAGGTTTGAAATTCCCCATAACATTGACCAATGCCTCTGTGGCACTGTTGCAGAATTGGAGAGAGAAGAAAATGAAACCAATGAGTAAACTGATTGTCATAATTTAGGACCTTATAGGTTGTAATACAGAACTTGGCTTTCACTTTGAGTGAGATGGGAAGTCATTTCAGGGTTTGAATCACTCTTGCTACTTCATAGGAAATAAACCCTGGGTTGCAGGAAGGAGACGACGATGGAACAAGAAAAGGGTGAAGTCTGAACAAGATTCATTGAAATGGGTAGAAATAATAGATTTACATTATCCCTTATATTAGTCTGTTTTCATGCTGCTCATAAAGACATACCCCAAAATGGGTAATTAATTTAAAAAAATAGGTTTAATGGACTCATAGTTCCATGTGGCTGGGGAGGCCTCACTATCATTGCAAAGGTGAAAGGCACTTCTTACAGGGCAGTGGCAAGAGAGAATGAGAGAGCCAAGCAAAAGGGATTTCTCCTTATAAGACCACCAGTTCTCATGAGACTTATTTACTACCATGAGAATAGTATTGATGAAACCACGCCAATGATTCAATTATCTTCCACTGGGTCCCTCCCACAACATGTGGGAATTATGAGACCTACAATTCAAGATGAGGTTTGGGTGGGGACACAGCCAAACGCTATCACCTGTGTTACCCCTCCCCCAGCCCCAGGCAGCACAGCAAGGAGGGACATAACCACCACTTGGGAGTGGAGAGCAAAGTGGAGCACTAGACTTTGCTTGGGCCCCAATACTAGGCCTCTCCCAGTAAAATCTAATATCAGCAGACTGAGCCTCCAGGCCTACTCCAGTACCAGGTCAGCCCCCAGGTAAGGCTAGTCCTGGTGGTCCTAGTTTCTAGACCACCCCCAGCACCAGGCTGGCCCACAGAGCCCCAGGCTTCAGGCCCATCCCAATAACATGCTGGCCCTTTCAACTATAGTTATCAGACTGGCACCTGTGGATCCAGCTTCCAAGCCAACCCTTATAAATAGAGCTTCCAGGCCCACCCAACACCAGCACAGTTCCTGAGGCCTCAGGGCCACCCCTGGTTCCAGACCAGCCCAGAGCAAGGTCAGTCCACAGAGCCCCAGGCTTCAAACCTGCCCCAGTACAAGATCAGAAACCCTTGCCTCAGACACCAGGTTGGCATCTGCAGACACAGGTTCCAGGCCTACCCAATGCCACACCAGCCCCTGTGGCCTCAAGCTGCGGCAGACCCATGGTCCAGATCCATGCCAGTGGACCCCAGTGGTGGGGGAGCCCCCAAGACCTAGACCCCAGAACCACCCATGAATACCTAGGTCCCAGGCCAGCCCCCATGTAACTTCCAGGCCAGTACCTGTACATGCAGCCTCTAGGACACAGATTACAGGCTGGTCTCCACAGACCTAGTCTCCAGGCACCAGACAAGCTCCTACAATCCTAGGCTGTAGATTGAACTCTGTGCATCCAGGCTCCATGAATACCCTAGCACCAGGTTGGTCCCCATGAAACAAGCCTCCAGTAGTACCAGGTCCAGGCCTCCTTAAGCAGACCCAGGATTTAGCCCCAACCTAGAAGACCTAGCACCAAACCGGCCCCTGCACTGAGGTTCTAGGACTATTCCCTGCAGACCCAGGCTCCAGGACAGCCACTATAAACTCAGACTCTAAGTCTATCCCAGTGGATCCAGAAACCAGCCTATCCCAGCACATGGCCAACTCCTGCAGAATCAGGGTCAAATTCCATCCCAGTGCCAGGTCAGCCCCTATGGACCCAGGCTTAAAGCCAGATCCAACAAATACATTCTCCAGACACATCCTTGGGGACTTAGGCTCCAGGACCACACCTGTGGATACAATGAAAAGTATCTACTCTGGTAAATCCAGGTATTTGGTTCAACCCTGATGACCCAGGTGCCAGGCTTACCCACCCACTAACCCAGGTACTAAGACTCCTTTCTGAGTACTCCAGCCACAAGCCTGGCAATGAATCACATCAGATGACCTGCCCAGTATCTCTAGAAGGGCTGACTGGTGATAGGTTTTTTCAGAAAAAGTCATTCTGAAACAACTAGAATAAGTCTCTATTTGTGATCAATAACAATGAGAAAAACATGATACTACCAAAGGGACTAATTACAGCACCAGAAACTGACACTGAAAAGAAATGAAAATTTATAAACTTCCTGACAAAGATTGCAAAATAATTTTTTAAGGAAGCTCAGTGAACTTCAATAAAATACAGAAAAACAATTTAATGATATCAAGAAACTACATAAAACTAGAAATTTAATGAGAGATTAAAATTATATAAAAACATTCAGAAGCTGAAAAATACAATGAATGATATAAAAATGCAAAAGAAAATATCAACAGGACTGATCAAATGGATGAGAGAACATGTGAAGTCAAAGACAAGTTACTAAAAAATATACATTCAGAGGAGAAAAAAGAATGAGGAAATCTTATGAGATTTATAAAACAACATTAAAGAGAAAACTCTGGGGTTATAGCAGTTTAAGAAAGAGAGAGACATCACAGTAGAAAGCTTGCTTAAAGAAATGATAGCAAAGGGCTTTCAAAATCTGGGAAAATATATAAATATCCAGGTACAGCCATGCCAAAGGTCTCCAATTATTTATTCTAAATAAGATTACACCAAGACACAATAAAACTGTCAAAATTCAAAGACAAAAGAAGACGCTGAAAGTAGAAAGAGAAAAGAAGCAAATCACATACAAGGAAGAGTCAATCAGGCTACGAGCAAGTTTCTTAGCAGAAACATTATAGGCAAGGGAAGAATAAGATGATATATTCAAAGTGCTAAAGCTGAAACACTTCCAACCAAGGACACTGTAATCATCACAGTTGTTCTCTATAAATGAAGGAACACTAAAGGCTCCCAGACAAGTGAACGCTAAGGGACTTCATTACCAACAGACCTATTTTACAACAAATGCTAAAGAGAGTTCTTCAAGCTGAAAGACAAGGATGCTAAAGAGTAAAACAAAAATATAATAAAGTATAAAACTCAGTGGTGAGAGTAAGTACACAGTGAAATTTAAAGTACTCTAATAATGTAATGGTGGTGTATAAATCAGTTATATCTTTAGAAATACAGTCAAAAGACAAAACTATTAAAATAATAGCTACAATAATTTGTCAAGGAATATACAATATACAAAGATGTAAATTGTGACATCAAAAAACCAAATATGTGTGTGGGATAAGTAGATGCATAGTTATTTTAGGTGATCAAAGTTAAGTTATAAGTTTGAACTATCCTATTGCAACTATGAGATGTTTTATGTATGTCTTATGGTTACCACAAAGCAAAATTCAATATTAGATATCCAAAAGATAAAAAGGAATCAAAAGACAACACTGTAGAAAATCATCCAACCATAAAAGAAGACAGAAAGAGAGTAAAACAAGATGAAGGACCTATAACACAGTCAAATAGCAATTAACAAAATGGCAGTAATAAGTCCTTATGTATCAATAATTACTCTGAATATAAATAGGTTAAATGTTCCAATCAAAAGAAATAGAGTAGTTGAATGGATAAAACAAAAACAAAAAAGACTCAACTATATACTACCTACAAGAAACTCACTTCATGTTTAAGGACACACACAATTTGAAGGTAAAGGGATAAAAAAAATATATATCATGCAAATGAAAACCAAAAGAAACCAGGCTAGCTACACCTGTATCAGATAAAATAGACTTTAAGTCATAACCATAAAAAGACAGAAAGAATGTCTCTTTAAATTATTATAATAATAAAAGGGTCAAATAATCAAGAAGATATAACAATTGTAAATATATATGTACCCAAAATTTGAGCACCTAAATATGTAAAGCCAATATTAATAGAGCTGAAAGAATATATAGACTATAACATAATAGTAAGAAACTTCAATACTCCACCTTCAGCAATGTACAGCTCAATCTGACAGGAAGTCATTAATAAAACATTGTAAACTACATTTTAGACAAATGGACCTAAAAGCCATGTACAGAGAACACTGCATGCAACAGAAGCAGAATACACATTTTTCTCAAGTACACATAGAAGATTCCCTAGGATAGATCCGTTGGGCCACTAAACAACTTTTAGCAAATTTATGAAGATTGGAATCACTTAAAGTATCTTTTCCAAATACAATAGTATCAAGCTAGAAATCAAATTTTTAAAAATTCACGAATACATAGTAATTAAAAAACATGCTCCTGAACTAGTGTGTCAATGAAATTAACAATAAAATTTAATGTATCTTGAGAAAAATAAAAATTGAAACACGACATACCAAAACATAGAGGATGCAGCAAAAGCAATTATAAGAGGGAAGTTTATAGCAATAAACATCTGTATCAAAAAAGAATGATCTCAAAGAAACAATGTAATTTTACACTTCAAGGGACTAGAAAAAAGAACAAACTAAGCCCAAAGTTAGTAAAAGGAAGAAGATAATAAATATCCGACCAGAAATACATAAAATGAACAGAAAAAAAATTTAAATAAAAGTTAATGTTGGCTTTTTAATAGATGAGCAAAAGTGACAAAATGTTACTTCATGAAGAGAAAAAGACTCCAATAACTGAAAACAAGGATGAGATGTTATAACTGACATCTTAGCAATGTAAAGTCTCATAAAAGACTAATATGAACAATTATACACCAACTAATTGAATAATCTAGAATTTATGAATAAACACAATCAACAAAGAGTGAATCATTAAGAAATGGAATATATGAACAGATCAATAATGAGTAAAAAGATTGAATTGGTAATAATATATCTCCCATCAAAAAAAGCCCAGCCCTTTATGACTTTACTACTGAATCTCCAAGTCATCTAAAGAACTAATACCAATGCTACTCAAACTTTGTCCCAAAAATATTTAAAAATCGAGGGGATACTTCCAAACTTATTTTACAAGACCAGTACTATGCCAATATTAAAGCCAGATAAGGACACTACAAGAAAGTAAGTTACAGATCAATATTCTTTGTGAACATAGATGCAAAATCTTCAACTAAATACTAGCAAACCAATTCAATAGCACATTCAAAGAATCATTTATCAAAGGGATGCAAGGACAGCACAACCTACACAAATCTATAAATATAATACACCACATCAACAGAATAAAGGACAAAAACATATGAGCATCTCAATAAATAAGAAAAAACATTTGGCAGTATTTAACTTCTTTCATAATCAACACTCTTAACACATTAAATATAGAAGTATCCCACATTCTTAATTTTGTATGTGTGTTTTCAGCAGAGGCACCGTAACACAAGTAGAAAAATTGTACCCGACATTATGAACTCAGGACTTTTCCTTCACCTGGGAAAAAATCATGATAATTAAAAAGAAGCAGAAACCTATTTAATTTCTTCTGAAGTCCAGTATAGTTAAATGATTGGTACTTCATCCATTTGACATAGTGGAAAAGAAAAAACTAGATTAGAGTTTGGTAGACACAGTATGGCATCTGCCTTTGATCAATTTTGTTGCATGATTTGAAATGAGTCACCTCTTTCTAAATGTCATCTCATTTGAATAAGTAATTTTAAACTATTTGCAGCAAAACATTCAGTAACTCATTTCACTATTTCTGATGCAGTGAATGCAAATAAACAAAAGCCATTGCTTTTCTTGACACATCCTCTTCACACAATTAAGAAATGGTTACAACCTGAGAAAACTGCGAACTATATTGCTATTAATTCAGAACAACATAGGAGAAGGGGGAGTTTATGACGGAGGAATAAAATTACAGTGGGAAAAAAAGTACCTCATAAATGAAAAAAAGAGTCAGATTTCATACAAAATCCTCTCAGTAGTTCCACATCACATTCTTTAATAACAAAACTGAAAGAATCGTAATTTTTATGATAAATTCAAAGGCCAGTTGCCAGATAATTTATTTTCCAAAAAGAAGACATTATAAATACAAGGATCTACTGTAACTAAATTTCAATAGAGTCTCACTATCTAATGCAAATGTATCCTATGTAAATTATTACTTGATAAATAAAATACCCTAAATCACCACAAAATTTTAAGCAAGGAGTGTCGAGTTTTTCTCAGTCCCTACATGTACGTTACCCAACACATGATTATATCAAAACTAAATACATTTAAAACTTCGGTTCTACAATCAAATTAGCCACATTTTTTTCCCTCTTTTAAAATTTTTATTTTAGGTTCAGGGGTTACATGTGCACCTTTGCTTCATGGGAAAATTGCATGTCTCTGGGATTTGGTGTACAAATGATTTTGTCACCCAGGTAGCAAGCATAATACCTGACAGGTACTTTTTTGACCCTCGCTATCCTCTGCTCTCCGCCCTCAAGTAGGCCCCTGTGTCTAGAGTTCCTCTTTTTGTGTCCACATGTACTCAATGTTGAGATCCCACTTCTAAGTGAGAAAATTTATGTGACTTTATGTCCCTGCATTAATGCACTTAGGACAATGGTATCCAGCTGCATCCATGGTGCTGCAAAGGACATGATTTCATTTTTTTAATGACTGAGTAGTATTCCATGGTGTATATGTAACACATTTTTAATCCATTCCACCATTGATGGGCATCTAGCTTGATTTCCCATGTTTATTATTGTGAATAGTGCTGCAATAAAAATATAAGTGCATGTCTCTTCGTAGAACACTTTATATTCTTTTGGGTGTATAACTAGTGATGGGATTGCTGGGTTGAATGGTAGTTCTGTTGTAAGTTCTTTGAGAAATCTCCAAATTACTTTCCACAGAGGCTGAACAAATTTACATTCCCACCAGCAGTGTACAAGTGTTGTCTTTTCTCTGCAAACTTGTCAACATCTGTTATTTTCTGACTTTTTCCATAATAGCCATTCTGACTGTGTAAGATGGCATGTCATTGTGGTTTTGATGTGCATTTGTCCAATGATTAGTAATGTTGAGCATTTTTATATGCTTGTTGGCTGCGTGAATGTCTTTGGAAAAATGTTTGTGTCCTTTGCCCATTTTTTAAATTATGTTTGTTTGGTTTTTGCTTATGAAGTACTTTATAGATCTAGATAATTGATACATCAATTGCAAATATTTTCTCCCACGCAGTAGGTTGTCTGTTTACTCTGTTGGTAGTTTCTTTTGCAGTGCAGAAGCTATGTGGGTCTCACTTGTGTATTTTTGTTTTTGTTACAATTGCCTTCAGAAACTTTATCATGAAATCTTTGCCCATGACTATGTCTACAATGGCATTTCCTATGTTTTCTTCTGGAGTTTTTACAGCTTTAGGTATTACATGTAAGCCTTTAATTCATCTTGAGTTGATTTTTGTATATAGTGAAAAGAAGTGGCTCAGTTTCAATCTTCTGCATCTGAATAGCCAGTTATTCCAGCACCATTTATTAAACAGGAAATTCTTTCCCCATGGCTTGTTTTTGTTAACTTTGTTACAGATCAGATGATTCTAGGTGCATGGCTTTATTTCTGGATTCTTTATTCCGTTTCATTGATCTATATGTCTGTTTTTGTATCAGTACCATGCTCTTTTGGTTACTGTCATCTTGTAGTGTAGTTTAAAGTCATCAAGTAGTATGATGCCTTTGGCTTTGTCCTTTTTGCTTAGGATTGCTTTGGTGATTTGGGGTCCTTTTTAGTTTCGTATAAATTTTAGAATTTTTTTTCCATTCTATAAAAATGAAATTAGTACTTTGATAGGAATAACACTGAATCTTTACATTGCTTTGGGGAGTATGGCCATTTTAACAATATTGATTCACCCTATTCATGAGCATGGAATATTTTTCCACTTGTTTATTTCATCTCTTTTCTGTGAGCAGTGCTTTGTAATTCTCATTGTAGAGATTTTTCCCCTTTCTGGTTAGCTGTATTCCTCGTTATTTTGTGTGTGTGTGTGTGGCTATTGTGAAAAAAATTGCATTCTTGATTTGGCTCAGGTTGGATGTGATGTGTTGATTAATAGAAATGCTACAGATTTTTTACATTGATTTTTGTTTCCTGAAACTTTACTGAAGTTGTTTATCAGTTCCAGGAACCTTTGGGCAAATGCTGTGAGTTTTTTCAGGCATAGAATTCCATTGCCTACAAAAAGTGATCGTTTGATGTCCTCTCTTCCTAATTGGATGCCGTTCATTTCCATCTCTTGCCTGACTGCCCTGGCTAGGACTTCCAAAACTATGTTGAACACGAATGGTCAGAGTGGGTATCTTTGTCTTGCTCTATTTTTCAGAGCAATGTTTCCAGTTTGTACCCATTATGATGCTGGCTATGTGTCTCTCATAAATGCCTATTATTCTGAGGTATGTACCTTTGATGTCTAATTTTATGGAGAGTTTTTATATGTTAAGAGATGCTGAATTTTATCAAAAGCCTTTTCTTGCATGTAGTGGGGTAATTATGTCAATTTAAAATTTCGTTCTATTTATGCAAATTAGCCACATTCCAATTGCTTAATACATATGTCTGGCTAACTTGTATACCATATAGGATATTACTGCTATTGAACATTTCTATCATGGCCAAAAACTCTATTGGACAGCATTGCCCCTAGATTATTGAAAGTAGTGATTCTTCTATTCTAACCCATTTTTCCTCAAATGAATTCAATGTGAACAGGCTCATTTACAACGTTTTCAATCTATGTTTATCGGAATTATAAAATTTTAAAACTAGAATAAATTTTGAACTGAATTACAGTACAGAGTTCTTTGACATTCTTAGCACATTTGTCTTACCACAACAAGAAAACAGTCTTAAAAAGTTAAATTGTCATACAATATAAACTTTAATAAGACACTTGAAATGATTGCAATGCTTTAAACTTTTCAGTTCTTGGAAATATCAAATATATTCTAATCAAAAATATACCAAAATTATCTGTTTTGAGAGAGAATAAGTTAATCCTATTACAATCTTTGGTAGAAGATCTCTAAGAATTCAAGAGAATAAAAGACTCCATAAGTGCTCAGGTAGTGAGTCATATGAAGAGGATACACAAACTGTGAGCTCAGGAAAATGCAGCATTAAGGTTGGCCCAGTGCCCCTGATTGGCAATCCCCAGTCAGGGGCACTGGCCCAACCTTATGCCGTATTTTCTAGCTGCAAAGTCCTTTCCCCATCACTTTATTTGCTCTAAGACTATTTTGTGATTTTTTTCCAGAGACACTGTGTCTGTCAAATTAAATTGTAGCACAAGAGGTTGTAAAAATAGATGTAATAAAACCAGTGTGTTATGTGACATTGTGACACAGTAAAACAGAGCTGGGTATGAACGTGTTCTTTAGCTTTCCTTTCTCATTTTACTAATCAGTGCACAGATCTTGAATTTGATGAAATGGAATGGGTTAGAATGTGAGCACTGAATATATCATGACAATATTAAGCTAACAGAAGCTGCACCTTCATGTCCCACAAGGCAAAGAGGGGTTGTAAACTTGGAAAACAAGTTACCAATTTTATTTTATATATATATATAAAAAAATACCAATTTTATATATATATACCAATTTTTATATATATATATATATAAACACATGTATTTGTAGGGCTTGCCTCATATTACATATGTATATATGTATATATAGTACGGCACATATATATATGTAGGGCACAGTATATGTATGTATGTAGGGCACATATATATATATGTAGGGTGTATATATATATATATGAGCCTGGGTTATTCTCAGTGTTTAGTTTCTCCTCCATGAGTAGGCTGGGGACAAATAATGACTAAAATGTTTTCATAGAGAATAAGTTAGTCCTTCCTTGAATGTTTTACCCAGTTCAGATTTTTAAGCTAATGGACATTGCCTGGGAATGGTTAAAGTTAGCTAAAAGCAGAATGATTCAATGAAACTCATCATCTGGGGAAACCGCTATTAATTAGTATATAAAATTTTCTAAGGAGACCTTGGATCTTGAATGTGCTAAGCATCGTCTCTCAGTAGATGACATAAAGTACAATTCTGGTTAAATATTATGTCCTTCAAACTAAGCAGTCCATCTCTCATATATCTATGTTTTACACCTAGTTATCTTTCAAGCAGGTTGGAACAAGTTGAGTGCTGGGACACATTTCAATGGACAATTTAGAAACAAGTGCAATATTCAACATAGGACCTAGAAGAGAAGGGTGAACCATGTTAGCTTATCTTTGAACTGAGAGAAAATCTGTGCATAATAGCTCACCATATTTAGGTATCTGGAAAGACTGCCCAGTGAAGAGAGACATAAGTACAAAATCAAGAGCGGTAAAAATCATGTGACACTAAATGTAAATTGAAAATATGGCATAAATTTATAATTTCTTATTGAAACTGTATATTCCTACTTATGTCCACTGGAAAAGTCTAGAAGTGATTGACAACTCACCACTGATAAGCATCTCTATTGCCCAGATTGTAGTATGTAAGCATAATTTCCCAGTATAAGAAATTAGGATTGCTTCAGGAAAAAAAAATGGTTATTTCAAAGCTTTGGACCAAAAAGCTGCAAGATATGCCTGGGAAATCTTGTGTAAGAAATCAAGGATGTAACACTGAGTTAAAAAGATAGAAGTCACCTTGAAAGTACTTCAATAGTGTAAGATGGGGCAATGTGCACACTGAAGAGAAGAATAATTTCAGATTATTGAAACATATTAAATGTATAAAACTCCATAAGTTTATATCACCACTTTAAAAAAATCCTCACAGTTCATCAATAAGTAAGGTACTAACTCATTTAAAATTGGGGAAGGAAAGTAAATGAAACATTTACCTTCTCTTTATCATAATATAGTTTAAGGAAATAATTTATGAGGAAAAAATTTTAAACATAATTGTAGTTAATTAAGACAGAAGGAAAGATAACATTTAAAAACTATTCTATTGAATTCTCAGCTTAAAATAAAAGTTAGAAAAATAAATAAAAAATATCAATTTTGAATTTTGGATTATATAGCAGTATTGTATTAAAATAAAATTTCTTCAGGTTGAAAACCATACTGTGGTTTTATAACAAAATGTTCTCATTAAGAAGTATACACCAAGATATTTAGGTGTAAGAAAGCAGGATGTCTCCACAAATCCATAGACAGATGTGTACACACACACACACACACACACACACACACACACACACACACAGATGGATCAGTAATAGATGGATAGAATATTTTTTTAAAATAGTACAAACTAGTACAAACTGTAATGAATAAGTGGTTAGTCTGTTTAAAGGATATATTGGAGTTTCTTGTACTATTTTAAAACTTTTCTATAAGTGCTCTCTAAATTTTCAATTACATCAAAATAAAAAGTTTACAAAAGAAAAAAAAGGACACCTCAGAGACAAAACAACAGAATGTAATATAAAAGCCTTTAGAGATCCTTATTTCTGCAAACCAGAAAGTGGGGAAAAAAAATTTAATGAAGCAATCAAGAAAATTGTATTAGACTAATAGATTATATTAAGAAATTAAAATTAATTTTGTTAGATGTAAAAATAGCATTTAAATTATATAATAAAATTATTGTGTTTTAGTGATACATACCAAAACATGTATGAATAAAGTATCAAGATGTTTTGGATTTGTTTTAAAATGCTTCAGGTAAGAAAAAAATATATTAAACATCCCAGATGAGACAAAATCCTGACAATTATTAAATCTGGGTGATTGATATAATTTTTTGTACTTTTTTAATTAAAAAATTGTTTCTAACAAATATTTTATAAAGAAGTTCTAAACTTTTTTATAGAAGAACAAAACAATAAAAGAAAAACAATCTAAGTAGTTTGTCTCTTACTAAGTGGGTAAGACAGCCATTTTCAATTAAAGCAAAGTAAGCATTTTTTTCTGGGAGTTAAATGTTCTTCTGTAAAGTACTGTTATTCTTTTTCCAACAAAAACAGGATGAAAGTCATGTTAACATAAAGAATTTACTCACAAGTTAACAGCCTTTTGTTTGTGTATAATTTTACTTATCAAAGTAAAGTTCTCTTCATTTTTGATTCTAGAGGAGAACATCCTCTAGATGTTTCAAAAATACAATGACTAGATGTATATCCACAGCTTTCCTTGTTCTCAAATGACCCAATCTCATTTAGAAGTTAACAAAAAGGAAAAACAAATCCAAACCCTAAGCCTTTATTTATATAGACCCTAATTGGAAAAACTAGAATTTCAAAGACAATGAGAGATTAACAAACCATCATAAACTTTTTGTTTGTTTATTTTTTGAAAGGAAAAAAGTAAGGTTTCCCTAGGTGGGCAGTTGAAATTAAAGGGGGTCTGTTTGAAAGAAAATGAAAGAAAAATAGACAGGTTAAGAGAATGAGCATCCACATGAAAAACCCTTTATGGACATCAGACTTCTGTATTTAAAAAAAAAAAAAGAAGAAGAAGAGAGAAGAGCAAAGACAGAAGAGAGAAGAGAAAAGAAGAGAAAAGAGAAAAGAAAAGAACCCTTCAAAGCCTAAAATTGTGAGATGTTTCTTTTTACTAACCGTGGTAAGTCACAAGGAAAACAAATTAGATGAAACTACCATTCATATTTCTTCCGATCAGATTAAACTACCATTCTTGTTCCTTCTGATCAGTTCTCCTCAACTTTCACCAGATATCTAAAAAGAAGAAAGCTGTTTATTAATGCGTTATTACTAATAGGCTTTTTTTTTAAGAGAAATTTTGGGTTCACTGTAGATGGAAGATATAATGAATTCTCACATACTATCCACTCCTCCACAACAGCTTACCCCACCATCATCATCCCACACCAGTGTGGTAGATTTATTAACAATTGATGAACCCATGATTATTGACCAAAGTCCATAGTTTGCATTAGGGTATACTCTGTGTAGTACACTCTATGGGTTCTGACAAATGGGATGCATCCATCGTTACAGCATTATACAAATTTTGCTGCCCCCCTAGAACTCCTGAGTTCTACCTATTCATCCCTCCCTCCAAACCCATGGCAAGCAGTTATCTTTTTACTACTTTTTCCCAAAAATTTTGCCTTTTCCAGAATGTCGTGTAGTTGGAATCACACAGCATATAGCCTTTTCGAATGACATATTTCATTTAGTAATATGCATTTAGGATTCCTCCATGTCTTTTTGCTGGCTTGATAGCTCATTTCTTTTTAGTGCTGAATACTCTTTTGCATGATGCATCATATTTTATTTATCCATTTACCCACCGAAGAGCATCTTGATGACTCCCAGGTTTTAACAATTATGAATAAAACTACAAGTAACATTTGTGTGCAGGTTTTTGTGAGGATGTACATCTTCAACTCACTTGGGTAAATACCAAGGATTGTGATTGCTGGTTTGTACAGTAAGAGTATGTTTAGTTTTGTAAGAAAATATCAAACTGCCTTTCAAAGCAGTTGTACTATTTTGCATTCCCATTAGCAATTAATGAAAGCTTCCATCGTTCCACATCCTTGATAGCATTTGATACTATCAGTGTTTTGCATTTTAGCCCTTCAAATATGTATGTAGTGATATATTATTGTCTTAATTTGCAATTTCCTAGTGACATATGATGTTGAGCACCTTTTCATATGTTTATTTGACATTTATATAGATTTGTTAGTGAGATGTCTGTTCTAATCTTTTGCTCATTTTTTACTCAACTGTTCACCTTCTTGAGTTTTAAGAGTTCTTTTCATACTTTGGATTACAGTCCTTTATCAGATATGCCTTTTTCAAACATTTTCTCTCAGCAAAAAATTTTAGTTTCAATAAAATTCATCTGGTCAATTATTTCTTTCATGAATTGTGTCTTTAGTGTTTTATCAAAAAAGGTACAAGCAATGTGTAAAGGATTCCCTATTTAATAAATGGTGCTGGGAGAACTAGCTAGCCATAAGGAGAAAATTAAAACTGGGCCTGTTTCTTATACAAAAATTAACTCAAGATGGATTAAATACTTAAATGTAAAACCCAAAACTATACAAACCCTCAAAGAAAATCTAGGCAATACCATTCAAGACATAGGCATGGGCAAAGATTTCAAGATGAAAACACTAAAAGCAATTGCAACAAAAGCAAAAATTGACAAACAGGATCTAATTAAACTAAAGAGCTTCTGCACAGCAAGAGAAGCTATCATCACATTGAACAGACAATCTACAGAATGGGAGAAAATTTTTGCAATTTGTCCAGCTGACAAAAGTCTAATATCTAGAGTCTACAAGGAACTTAAACAAATTTACAAAAAAAAAAAAAAAAAAACAATTACATTAAAAAGTGGGCAAAGGACATGAACAGTCACTTCCTAAAAGACATTTATGCTACCAACAAGCCTATGAAAAAATCTCAGTATCACTGATCATTAGAGAAATGCAAATCAAAACCACAATGAGATACCATCTCACACCAGTCAGGCGATTATTACAAAGTCAGGAAACAACAGATGCTGGTTAAGTTGTGGAGAAAAAGCAATGCTTTTACAGTTAGTGGGAATGTAAATTAGTTCAACCATTGTGGAAGACAGTGTGGCAGTTCCTCAAAGATCTAGATCTGTTCAATGAGAACACATGGGCAAATGGCAGGGAACAACACACACTGGGGCCTGTTGTTGAGGGTGGTACAGGGGTAGGGAGAGCATCAGGAAGAACAGATAATGGTTTCTGGGCTTAACCTAGGTGATGGGTTCATCTGTGCAACAAACCACCATGGCACACGTTTAACTACGTAACAAACCTACACCTCCTGCACATGTACCCCTGAACTTAAAATCTGAAGAAAAAAAAAGATAATAAACAGCTAATTAAAAAAAGACTGAGTTATGAGAAAATTCACTCTCTCTCTCTCTCTTTGATTTTAAGCTGGGACATCGGTCTTCTCATAACTTGGGACTAGGACTCAGACTAAAACCTACATCAGCGATTCTTCTGGTTCTCAAGCCTTTAGAGTAGGATTGGACCTATACCAGTGTCTCTCCTACCTCTCCAGCTTGCCAACTCTCAATCATGGGACTTAGCCTCCATAACACTGTGACCCAAGGGAACCAATTCCGTATAACAAATCGCTTTTAGAGAAAGATACATAATATATATTAATATGTATATATATGTATATGTTTACATAGCTCTATAAAATCCTGCTGTTTCTGTTTTACCAGAGAACAGAAACTAATTCTATCTATTAATCTGTCAGTCTGTCTATCCATCCAGTTAAACTGAAGTGTGCAAAGGGCAGAATTTAAAAACACATTAAAATCTCAAGGAGATCACAGCTGGATAGAGGAGGTAGTCACTAACAGACAACTTCAAACAGTAAGAAAAGAGCAATCCTTGTGCTGCTTCTGAAGAACTGTTGTAGGAAACTACAAGTTGTGCACTGGCTTATTCAGAAATGTGCTGACAGTGGAAACCTGCAGAGAAGGTAAGTTACAGATCTCAGGGGCCATTTTGTGCCATGTTAGAGTATTTGGACACCTTTCTGCTGGGTGATGAGTAGCCACTGATTTGGTTTTAATCAGCAGAGGGACAAAATCCATTTGTTCCCCAGAACAATTGCTCTGTCAGAAGAATAAAAAATAGCATATAGTGACAAGGGGGAAGCATTCACACTTTTTTTCTTACTTCAAATCCATTTATTTTCTTGCTTTCCCAAAGGCTTTTGAACAAAAAAAAAAATGAGCAAGTAGAGCCTATAAAATATTTTCAAAATAAAAATAAAATTACTTATAATGTTAATTTCAATAACATTATCTTAAGAAATATGTCCTGGACTATCACTGTTTTAACTAAGAACCAGTATATGTTTAACATCTTCAAGTATGACAGAAAAGATATACCAAATTGGAATCCAACTCAATGAGCTGACCAAAACATTTGGGAAATCTCAGATTAATAGTGCAACATTTAGGCCAGGTACAGTGGCTCACGCCTGTAATCCCACAACTTTGGGAAGCTGAGGCAGGAGGACTGTTTGAGGCCAGAAGTTTGAAACCAGCCTGGGAAACATGGCAAAACCAGTCTCTACTAAAAATTCAAAAATTAGGCATGGTGGCATGCACCTGTAGTCCCAGCTACGCAGGAGGCTGAGGTGGGAGGATTACTTAAACCCAGAAAGTCAAGGCTGCAATGAGCCACGTATGTGCCACTGCACTCAGGGTGAAAAGGAGACCCTGTTTCAACAGCAACAACAAAAAAAGTGGAACATGCCAGGCACGGTGGCTCACGCCTGTAATCCCAGCACTTTGGAAGACCGAGGCGGGTGGATCACCTGAGGTCAGGAGTTAGAGACCAGCCTGGCCAACATGGCGAAACCCTATCTCTATTAAAATACAAAAAGCTGGGTATGGTGGCATGCACCTGTAACACCAGCTACTCGGGAGGCTGATACAGGAGAATCGCCTGAACCCAGGAGGCAGAGGTTGCAGTGAGCCGAGATTGCACCATTGCACTCCAGCCTGGGCAACAAGAGTGAAACTCTGTCTCAAAAAAAAAAAAAGAAAAAGTGCAACATTTAGAGAGATTGTTTGTACATATGTGTGTCTGTGGCACTCCCATTGGGGATTATAATTTCTATTGAACAGAAATCTAGATCTTCAACTCCAAAAACAATTTAATACATATGAAACATTGGTAGGGAAATTGAGATCAAGAGATTATTTTTAACTAGCATTTTTTTAAGCACAATTTACACACAGTGGTGCATTACTTTGAAACTTAGGAAGGCATTCATATGAGAATAAGTGAGTAAAGAACAACAAAATTCATATGCGATAAAAGTTTGAGATGCTTCTAAACAGTATTTAAAGTTTCCTGCTATGTTGTTTTCAAAAGGGCAACTGAGAAATGGCCAATCTTCCATCTAGACCAGGGTCCAAGTTTATGTGGGGAATCCAACAGTTTGGTGACTGCTCTTGAAATTTGCACCAAAAATACATCTCTTGTTTATGGTCAAACATGCCTTTTCTTCTGGCTCTGTGACTAGTCTTCTGAAGTCTACAGAGCATTGGGGTGGTACATGAGGTATGAAGAGAAAACTTGCTACACTCTCCATTGAACTAAAACATTTTTATTCTCTTTCTGGTATTACACGTTTTGCTACAACCTTTACACATGCTCCAAAGTCAGCCTTGAATCTTGTGGAATACAAATTAGTTAGCCCCTGGAGGTTGAAATTAGAGTTCAGTGCAGAGAATACACAGTTTATTTCTCTAAATAAACTATCAATGGGTAAAACACAATTTTTTTTTAACAGTTAAGTATGGATCCTCCAAGAAAATATCTATTCTGTGAAACACTATCTTCACACCTTTAGTCATAGTATTCTTACAAAGAAAAAATATGTTTTGTATTTTGTAAATATGTTTTGTATTTCGTAAAAATCATGTAAGACATTTAATAATGCTGAGTTTATCTAATTCAACTTTTGTTTGCCACAGACTGTGTGAGTGTCTCTGTGTGTATCACTTAATAAGTTGTTCAGTAGACCATAGGAAAACAAAAACTACACAGTAATGAGCACAAAACAGGTATCTGTTTTTATGTAAGCTGCAGAAAATCCCATTGTTTCTAGTTCCTGATCCTTCCCCTGCTTGTCAAATCCTTCATATTTATGTATATTCCATATATTTTCAATAATGGCAGTTTACAGCAAAGAGACAAGAGAAGATGAGGCAATGCAAAAAGTTTTTTCTCACAGAGACACTTGGTTGGTCTTTATTGCAATTTTTCCAAGGTTGGAGTATACATCAGGTCTCTTGAAAATGTAGCTCAGTGTCATCATCAATTTGGAATATAACCTGAGCTGTGAACTGCCTTCTGTTAGCTTACTTAGCACAGTGGCCCTCAGCCATTTTTATGTCTGTACTTCATTTACATGTGCAGCAGTATTTCATCAGTAATATTTTGTGCTTTGTGCTGCCCTGCAGGTTACAGAGTTTGCAGTAGCAAAATGTGTACTAGAATTCAGACATCCTGATTTCCCAGCTAGTAATTTATTCCATAACACACTATTTCCTAACATTAACAGTCGCTGCAGAAAGGGCTTGGTAAAGGAAAACTTCCTGGATCATGGCTGGCTGCACTATGCTTAAAATACACAAAGCTTTCATTCTCTAAAGCAATGGTTTTCAAACAACTGTTGTTCAATGTTTCAGCTGCATGGAGGGAAGTTGCCAAATTGGTTAATAAATTATAATAGTAATATTAAGAGCTATTACTACCCACCAGTGAATATTTGGACAAGAGTTATTAGTACCAATGATCCTTTCTGACAAGTGAGGGTAAGAAGAAATAAAACATGTAGAAGGGATATTAAGAAGAAATAAAACATTTTAAATTGTCTAAACAAGGTCATGATGGGAAAACATGTTACTGTATCTTTGCAATGGGAACAATAATGATATTTTTTTCCTGAGACCAACAAATATGGGTCTATCTATTAATCCTGACTTCTAGTTATTGAAAACAGAATTCATGATGGGCACAAGCGGCTTTCAGGCTTGGTTTTCTAACTGCAAACTAGCATTCTTCTAATTCCATCTTGAAGTTGGTTAGATGGAGCAGAAGGGAATGAAAATGTATTGTTAATTTCCTAGAACACTACTTTTAGCTCATTTTAATTAAAAAATTAAGAGCATTTTTATAAAAATTGAATGGTATTACAAAATGAAAGGAAAATTGAACATATATCATTTATCTAAACAGTGACATGTCAAAAATTTAAAAAATATCTAGGTTAATATTTTAACTATGAATTATTTCTATAATATTTGTATTAATTTCCATTTCTTTTTTACATGCTTTTTTCTAACTTGGCTACCTTTATTATATAGTGTGTATTGAGAGAGTAATATGGACCAGATAATGGGCCATGCACTTTCTATTCTGTGGCAGGGATGGTTAAACAGCACAGATTCTCATTTCCATTCCATAAGAACCTCTTAGGCACTACATTCCTCATCCTCCTTGCATCATCTTGGCAGTCATGTGACAACTTTTGGCAGTGGAATGTGAACAGAATCTACGTATAGCAGTTCTGGGCCTGAGTGTTTATATACCTAGTGTTCATTCTCTTGTTCTCATCTTCTTTCATAGAAAACCTGACTGTGATATAATGAAAATGGCTACATCGCAAGATAAAAGCAACCTAGATTCCTGAATTACTGCTTGGGAAAGAACCTTTAAATCAGGAATGCCCACGTTGGACTTTATGTGAATGAGCAATAAATTACATCTTGCTAAGCTATTCAGATTTGCTTTAACCCTGATTTTGTTGTTGTTTTGTTTTGTTAAAGGAATTTGCTCACTCTAATACGTATGTATAATCCTTAAAATAACCCAGCTCAGGTACAATTATATTTTATGGATAAACTTGACTCACAAAAATAAATATTTGCACAAGTTAGTAAGTGGCAGGGGCTACACTCAACTGAGGATTGAATAAATATGTAGGCCATGCGCTTAAAAAATAGACATTTAAATAAGAATTTCTTTACCTCATAGCAGAATTTATTATTCAAAGACATTCCAGATATAAAAGAAACATAGACATAAAAGAAGGCTGTATATTTGGGAGCTGATTAGATTGTAATCTTTCTCACAGCCTCCCCTCATTCTTGTTATGCATCAATGTAAATAGAGAATATTCCCTGAGCCACTGACTTTGGGTTTGGCCATGTAACTTGCCTTGGCAGAAGCATGAGTAGGCAAGTGATGGTGGGCCTGTTAGTAGAAAGAGCTTTAAAAGACATCATATGTTTTTACATTTCTTCTTGAGTTTTATGCCTGTACATGAGAAAAATCACAGATAGTGGTTGTTCTGTGACTAAGATCAGAGAATAAAAAGATACATTGAGAAGACTTAAATCTGGTCCAGCCAAGCCCAAGTGAACTTGTCTAAAACCAGCTGAAACCAGCTACATTCAGCTGAGCCATAAATAACCCACACTTACTGGTATGAATAAGAAATTAGTGTTTCATGTTGCAAAACACTGAGATTCTCAGTCATTTACTTGGTGATATATTTGGTATATATGGAACCGAGGTACATTTTGTAGTGTAGAAGTCTGACAAGAAGATATGACTAAAGTGGTAAGTTGAGGCTAGGTTGTGGTTGGCCTTACATGCCATACCAAGCAGTTTAAATTATCTATTGCAATAATTAGAGAGATATTGGAATGTCATGAGTGAGTGCTCCATTTTGATCTACTTATATAGTTTATCCTCTGATGATAGTAAAATTAAAAATAGAAAGCTTTTTGAAGGAGTCAGTTTTGGCATCAGAAAGGTAGTAAGCCAGCCATGATGCCAACAAGTTTGATGTCAGATGTGTCAGACTGTGTACATCATCCCAGATTGGCGTGCTTATCTTGATTTCTGACCACAATAGCCCTTGTACTAGCTTGTCTTATTATTGCTTTCATGGGCCTAGCTTGCTACTGCTAAAGCCCTGGGTTGCTATAGCACAAGAAACACCATGAGGAGTGTTAACTGGTCAAGGGAGACTGCTTTTTCTGATCACTAGCCAGACAGTATTCACAGTTGCTCTGGTCTTTCATTTAGCTGCCTAGGGATGCAAGGCAAGCTGAAAGTTCAGGAAAATAAATGGCCCATAAGACATGTGGATGAAAGAGCAATGGGAGTGAGAGATGAGAGAAGGGAGGCAGAAAAAATATTTCTCCTTGTTCTGAGATGTAGCAGAACATATTGTCTCTCGGAAGACATACCATGAGACACTGCAATAGTATGCTGTGGCCAGGCAAGAAAATACTTATTCCTATTTGTTATATCTCCTACTAGATTATTTCTAAACAAATTTTCCTGTGGGTACAGACTTTTATTCTTTTTTTTTGTCCCTAAGGAGTCCAGACATATACAGTGAGCTAACAAAAACAGCATTGATATCTGACCTTCAAGTCAGAGAACAGTGCTTACTAATAGAAGTATTATCTTGATATAAAGAGACCTGAGTTTGAGTCCAAGCTCATGCAATTATTATTTCACTGATCTTGGGTAATGCTCTTAAACTGTCTATGTCGAAACCTCCCTTTCTGTTCAGAGGATTGATCCTTGCTCACAGTTGTTTGTACAACGAGTTTTAATCTGTTCAGAATTATTCTTAAACAGCACTGCCTAATCCTAAAAGTGTCAAAATCCTCCTTGCAAGGTGATATTGGTACAGCAGAGAAAGGTTGACAAATGACAAAATGAACATATGATTTCGAAGTATTAGTATATAAATTCCAGACATCTGCTTGGAGAAAAATCAATTAGTGCTCATTAAGCATTTAAAGTATTACAGGTCTTTCACAAAGTCCCTGACATACACTAACATATCTAAAATAGAATAACCTTTCAAGGGAGGAGACACGGAAACTGAGGAACAGGGATGCTTAGCACATATCTACAGGTTATCAACTAGATAGGATTAGATCCAGGACTCAAATCCAACTTGTTGTTTGTAATCATTAGGATAAGCTGCCAGAAATATTGAGAAAAGTTTGAGGTCTTTAAATAGTGACAAAACTTAGCTGAAGTGGCTATATAGAAAAGGCTGTCTTCACACTGTATGTTTGAAGTATTATTGATCATTGTTTAAAACTTCATTTTATTACATATATCAGTGTCACCAGTAATTGCATCTTTATTTTTGGATAAAACTGTTTAGGAGAAGACAAGAATTTCCTTCTGACAGATCCCTGTAAAAAAAAATTCTTACAAACAGAGAAAGTAAAAGTTATAATATATTTTATTTGTTGATATTTATTGCTGGAATGATATATTCACTGAAGACCATGGACATTTTTTATCAGTGCTTAGTTAAATGTAATTTGTATCTATATGCTTATAATTTTAAAATGTTATTGAATCTTACTAATAATTATATAGGAAACAGTTCCTCATTTTTAAACTCTTAACTACCGTGGCTATATTTTAAAATGAGTTCTAAAGTTTAATTTCATATAATACAATTCACCAATTATAAATATATAATTTGAGGATTTTTGGAAAATATACAGAGTTGTGTATAACACGATATATATTTCCATTACCCACAAATTTTCCTTTGCAGTAAAGGGGAAGAGAAACCACACACTGGGAAAAAAGGGCATAATAGACTTGTATACAAAACATAGAAAAGATGGAAGCATTTTAATAATAAGAGCAAGCAACCCAACTAAAAATAACCAAAAGAATAGAAAAAGAGTTGAACATACACTTCCCCAATATATATGTTATCCTTTTTCTAAGAGAAGAGGAATCTGGGGCTTAGAGAGAATTAGTGACTAGTTCAGGTTTATGTTTGGTAAGCAGTACAGTTTAAACTCCAACTGATGACAGTTTAAGAGCCAAATCTGAGTTCTTTACGTGAGAAAGAGGTAAGGAGGAGAGAAAGGGAGGTAAGGAGAGAGGGAAAATAAGCTAGTAACAATGGTCATAATTTGAGAGATTTGTCTTACCGCAAGCCTGACAGTTGATCCCACACTGTGTTGTCCCAAAAAATGACTCACTAAATCAGTAATGGCAGCATTTAACTACATTTTTATATCACTAGTGCTTCTTATAGAAACCAGAGAGAAAGTTTCTATTTCAATTTTTACCAAGTCAAAAGGAGTATCATCTTTTCATTTTGATTTGTATAGGGATTTAAAAGGTAATATCACATAATATGGAGGAAATATTTCTGACGGTTATGACTCAGGTTGAGAAATTGGAAGAATAGATAACAAGCAAACAAAATAAAATTATGTTAATGTTCAGCTAGCCTTCCTTCTTTCCTAAGATTATCAGGTAGAAAATTTAAAAAAAAATTTAAAAACAAAAATATAAAAAACTTGTATTGTGATTTATGAGATGTATGCTAATAAGTAAAGAGGAGATGAAGCTATTAATGTGTTTGTGAGATGTGTGATACAGCGTTTTTTTTGGCGGGGGGAAGGTACTGGTGTTTATTTTTGTTGAAAGGTGTTAAAGGAACATCAGTAAATCCTAAAACAGCTGCAAAACATCTTACATGTCATAGCAATTCGTCATCTGTGTGTATGTGAACAGAAAGGTCCTGTGACTGCAACAACAGGAAGAAGGTAGATCTGTGGTCTTATCTGACCTCTTAATTAGTTGCTGTTTTAATTTGAGAAGTCTGAGCTGTGAATCTCTCAGACTTAGTGAATCAAATTCTTTAAAGAGAAAAGCCCTGAGATAAAACTGTCAGTTAAGAACAAAGCGCCAATAGCTTCAAATCACCATAACTGTTTACAGCATAGTTACTGCGTCTAAAAAAAAGAACTAATATTTTAGTTTTCTTTGCCTTCTAATCAAAATATTCATCAAAATAATAATAAAAAATTCTGCCTTATGGATATAGTGATGCAGTTTTTTTACTGCTTTCTCATGCTATTTCAACAAGTCTCTAAGAAAAGTAGCATTTTTATTCCTATTTCATAGATTTAAAGACACTTCTCCCTCAGAGTATGTGAACTTGCTCTTTGTTCCTTTTGGAAGCTCTTTCTTTCTTTTGGAGACTCTTCCTTCAGATATTTCAATGGCTAGCTTTCCTATTTCTGCTAGATGTTCATGAACATGTCATCTTCTCATTGAGACCATCTCAGCCCATCCTATGTGAAATTTCAGTACCTAACCTTTCAACATTCCTTATCCTCTTTCCCTGCTATATATTCCTTCCTATCACAGCATTTATTGTTGTGTAACAAAATTTATCTTTTTAATTCTACCCTTTCTGTTGCTACTCCCACCTCTCCACAGTGTAAACTCTGAGTCTGTGTCTATGAAGACTGATTTGACAAACATCATGCACTCTAATTGACATTTTATGATTGAATCTTTAATAGAATCACAAGTAATGGGTTTTTAAGATAGAATGAAAACAGACTGATTACATGCTCAATTTTGGTTTTTGAATATGATTCACAGAATGTTTACATGAAGGAGGTTTCAAGGAGAGTTGGAATGATTCAAATATTGATAACATTAATCAAATACTTTAAAGTGAATAAAATAAGCATTCTAACACATTCTGGCTCAGAAAGAAGTTTCTTAAATAGCATTAAAATTTTGAATTTTTAAAATATTTATTCTTGTGAATTTGTTTTCACTCCTTTACATGATAAAACTTACTCTCTGGTGGGAGGTGTCCATATAGAAAACAGGGATGTGGGTTCTATTTATGGCCCCACTAACTATAGTTACCAGGAAGTTGTCTATTTTTTCTATACTTCAGTTTTTTCATCAAGATAAGAGGAGGAGGGTGGGGTTATTTCATGTCCCCTTGATGGTTTATATCAAAGATTTTCATCAATGTATAATTGTGTAATTATATGAACTGTAAACAGTACTATAATAGAAAAGATTTTCAAGTTCTAATCATGTATTTGTTTCTAGAAGTCCCAAAATGCACGTTCTATCTAAACGTATTTTAGTTGATAATCAATCCTTTACAATGTTTATAAGCAAAGCGTAAATCAAATAAGCTCTGTGAAGCTTGTAATTTTCTGCCATTTTGACAGCTATTTAGTTATTTTTTGCATGAAATAAAAACTCAATTCCATTTTCTAATCCTTGTAATTTGACTGAAGGCTGCATCTTTGCTTGCTTCTATATAAGAAAGCTCAAATGACAGAGGAAACAAGCAAGTTATTGCTAAATCAAAATTTATAGCATTGGATAATGGAATTTTACTAACCAGTTAGGAGAGGAAAAAAAACCCTGTAATACCGTAAAATGCTTATGATAAACAATCCTGAAGAACATCAACACACCCGACTCGGCACTTTAAGTAAAGGCCTAGAGGAACCCTAATTCCAAAATATGTCTTATACTTTTTATCTATAGCTTTGCATTGCTCAGTGAGTTTCTAGTTTCTTGAGAAATGTTCACTTGTGATTTAGTACTACAGAACTACTTCAGGCAAATTGAATAAGAGAGCTTAAAGAGTATTTAATATAATGCAGGCAAATTTTTTAAAAGCCCTTATTATTTAGAAGAAATCTTTTTAATGCTCTTTGGTCAGACTGACTGTCTACAATGATTGGCTTTGATGAAAGGAGAAAAAAAAAAAGAGACCTGGCTAATATCTACAGTAGAGAAGGAAACCTAGTGATTACATTATCCTTTGTTTAGACCTCAAACGAACAAGCTAATAGCTTCTTACTTAGCTGTTTGTGCTCTGATTTCAGGCCATTAGTGGGCATTATACAATGAAAAAGTTTGCTTATACTCTTCCCATGGGTGTTTCAATTTTGTACTAATAAGCCGAGTTCAGTTCATCTTTTCATGTTAGAACCCCGAGGAAGAACTATGGGTTAACTTCAGCTGAATAACAAATGGTTATCCAAACTCTATAAGGAATTTTATATTCTCTTAGTAAAGACCTTTCCTTTTAAGATAGAGCAAAAGTTCAAACTAGGAATCTGAATCTCAAGAACAACAGTTACTAACAGAAAAACACATTTGAACTATCTCAGGGATTTAGTTTGTCAATTTATATTCCCTGAGAGTAGTCATGTAAATTCTCAGTTCTGTATTTAAATTTATTAGTACTTCCTTGTCATTTTTAAAGACAAGCAGAAAGAACTTGACTGTGATTGAGATTTTGGTAAGGATTAACAGTAGAATGGATAATAAGCAGCAGATTCATGGAGGACTCTAGCCTGGTGAACAGGGTATACATGGCTGGAGGCAATTCCTGTGGGTAATCACTGAGGGGAGAAATATTTCTTCCAGTTGAAAGCTGAGTGGCAGTACAGACTCTTCTTTGAAGGCAGCTGCTTCATCAGGGAGAAATTTTCATGTTAAGGAACTTAGGAGCAGCTATTTTACCTCCTGCTCTTCTGATATTTTTCCCCAATGAGAAACATTTTTACTGACTTACTCAGCCTGTTCTACTTTCAAAGAGTAAAATCCAGCTGTGGAGTGTGATTTGACAGACATAACAAATTATATATCTCCATCTCTGGAGTCTTCCTTTCTTCTCTGTTACAATATTCTGAATACTGTGTCTTTACTGAACAAAAATAATTAAAATTATAAAATCAAAGTCATGCTTCAATCACACTATCATTTATATATCATCACTACAACATACAAGGTGGTAACATGTATATTTTTTCTTACAAAAAATTAAAAGCATACATTAATATAACTGTCATTTTACATATACAGAATTTGTGTCTCAGAGATTATTGAATTATTTGCCAAATATTATAGAGCTTTGATCACCCAACTGGAGTGTGGAAACTAAATCGTCTGGCACTTGGTTTGTACCCCTTCTTAAGCACACTGCTAAATAAGGCACCTTCTAAGCAATGTACCTTTGAATAATCTCCAGTATTAAGTTATTTGGAGGATATCATGGAAGTGAAGAAGAAAAATGATGAATTTTACAGACTGCTAATAAGTAAAAAGGGTTACAAAGAAATCTTAGATGACATAAGCAATGAATATTCTGTTGATGGAGCTTTAAAGAGAGAAGTAAGAGAATACAGAAATGTTCAAACTGACATGGGGATTAGGGTAAAAGTGATCAGAAAATCCTTCATGAAGATGATAGTACTTTTTCTTGAAAGGTGATTAGGATTTGACATGGACTGATGAAGAAGTTAGGACATTCAGACTAGAGAGAAGGGCATGGACAAGCCTAAAACTTATAAACATAACAAATAAAATGCTGTTACAACTAGGATCCAAATTTATGAGACAATGAGAGGCATGTAAAAGTATTGTTAAGATAAATAAATAGATAGAAACTTGTATTAAAACAACATGAAACTACCTAAACAAAACATTAAGGAGTAGACCTACTTTAGAAGGCAGTAAGAAATTCAATCAATTTCTGATCTGAGTTTGATCTGGCTTTACCAAATTTTTAACTGAGGCAGGTATGCCGATCTGAAAGGAGTTTTACAATCATTAGGCATGGGAAAGAAAAGAGTTAGATTTGATTCGTTTCCATGTTGAAATTGAAAGAGTCCAGATCTGAGGTAAATTACACATGATAGTTAGATTGCAATGATAATAGTTAGGATATTCTGCATGTTGTGTTCAGGATTATTTGGTATATATATTTCACAGAGATTGGATGTAGGACTCAAATTTATGTTCAGGTTCAGGGCCTATTATATGTAGGTATATATTCAAGATATTTCAAGGTAGTTTCTTTTCCACTTATATAAAATGAGGGCATATTATCGATATTTAATATTTATCTCTGCAATAGATGTGCTTGGTGAATAATTCTGAGGCCCCTTTAAAACCCAAATGTGTGGCTTGAAGCTGCCAGAGTACAAATGTAGTCAATCACAATTATGGCAGTGCTTCTTAAACAGTTTTCTCATATTGCTTCAAAAGCATTTAGAGTATTAAAAGACAAAGCCAGATCTATTAGTTTTATTTGACAAATTCATACTCCATAGTTTGACAAATAAAACTAATAATATACTGTTTTCCTTTTGCATTTTGGCAATTTGATTCATTTTAATTATATTAGGTAAAATATTCTATGTTAAGTAAAATAACATAGAATATGCAACCATTCATTTTGACCAGAACTGTTCTGGTTTTGGCATTCAGAGTTTTATATCTGGGAAACCCATTATCTCAGGCAAATCAGGATGGTTGATCACCCTAATATTTCACTACAACTAGAAGTAACTGGATGTTTATATCTATCATGGAATTGGTAATTTTGATTTTGATTATTAAATAGCTTATGATGTACTCTGGGATTCTCAGATTAATCAAATCAGATACCTTAAAATCAAGCATTTACTGTGCTTTTCAATGATCAGTTTAGTTTCTTCCTGTGATAGCCAATATCTAGGGTGTGTTTAAAATCTATCAGTGATATACAATAAATCCTCATTTAACATCATCAATAGGTCCTTGGCAACTGCTACTTTCAGCAAAATGACATATAAGGAAACACTGAACAAAACAACTTTATTTGAGGACCTGCTGTGCATCATTTTGCTTAAAGTTGGTTTCCAAGACTTTATGATGTCAACAGGGGACTTACTGTATATAGTTTTGCTATTTTAACATGCATGTATACTATTCAGTCTCATATATATATATAATATATATATATCTCCAATGTAAACTTTGTTTTTTGTTTTGTTTTGTTTTATAACATACAACAGTGTCTAGCAAACAGAATTCTACCCATGATCCTCAATTCTGGGGGAGACAGACTTCTCTTTTGAGTTTTTTGGGAAACAGTGCAAAGTCATCAATGTTCAAAAAGATAAAATAAATCCAAGATTTTGGGACAAATGGTCTTTTTCCTGCAATAATGTGCTTTTACCTACATCTTAATGTGAAAACAAACGGAAATCATTATCATTAAAGTGGTGCTACATCTAAAAAGCAGTATGTTGGTCCAAAGAAATCAATAGCATATACACCTATACACCCCAAACACATCAGCAACACCTCGAAAACTCAAAAGGGAGACAGTAGGTACACACACACACACACAAACACACACACACATATACACACACATATATACACACACACACACCCCTCTTTTGTGGAAGCCCAGCAAGATGGAGGTAAGATGTTTTGAAATAGGTGCATGGTGTAGTAAGTCTCTCTCCCTAACATTTCTTCCCCTACTTCTAATGAGAACAAATGCAGTTTTTAAATATTTCTGTTTGGAGATTTATTGAAGAGTAAAGAGGACCAGACTCCCTTTACCAAGTGATATGATGAGTAAGTGATGAGTGATCCTTGACTGGACACCTAGCCAGATTACTGTAGGTAGTTTGCATCTTAGCTGGCATTCTGTCGCTATTAATTTCTAAATCATTTACAGTAGAATATAACCTTAGTAGGTGCATAAAAATGCACTCTTTCTTTTAATCAATGATCTGAGGAATATGCACATTGAATTTGTAATGTTTATGATTTATAAGTAATTCTCATTGTTAAATCAAAGTGAGAATAAAATGGGGAGTTAAAGAACTACTTTTCTTGCAAGGCATATGAGACAAGCAAAAAGAAGTTGACAGCCAAAGCAGTTATTAAATCAATTTTTGAGTGAAAAGAAACTTTGGTCCTCTACTATAACTGCCAAATTTCTGAGTCATATCGTTTTATTAACATAAAAATATGGCTTTTACTTAGCTATTTATCTATAGGGAAACCGCATAAAAGACCAGGAAAGCATAGAAACTGGTAAATGTTTCTGCATAACATGAATAACACCCATATGAAAATTGCTCTATGTCATGGTCTTACTTCTGTCATGAACTAATTGTATGACCTTGAGGTATGTCACTTAAATTCTCTGCACACGTATATCTTGGAAAATAAAATGAATGTGTTTTAAGGCCTTTTCAATATAAAAATTATAGAATTTATTTCTAATGTTTTGGTCACTTTTAATTATGCCTTTTTGATTAGCAAAATGAACATCTTTGTTCATGTGAACAAATTTCAAATGAACAAATTTGAAAAGGAAAATGAACATCTCAGGACATACTCTCTTATGGGCACCCGAAAACCTCAGTTGTGTGATCACTCCAGGGTGATTTGCTCACTGAGCTCTAACCCTTCCTCAAACTACAGATGCATTGGCCTAAGCCATACAACTGTTCTTGATTTCCTTATTTTTTCTTTAGTCTCATATGGATCTAGAGTACTTTTCTTATGAGCAACCTGACTGACTGAGTTCCAGAGATTCTGGCCCTCTGTTTCCCTTATTCTCATCTGCAGCAGTTATCTAAATTCACAATCTTCTGAAGTATTTAACCTTGAGCAATGCCACTGCTCATCTTAAGGGATTTTAAGACCAATATTCAAAGAGGTTCATTTTACATAGGAGGCCCCTATAGATAGGAACAGATCTACAGAGGTTTTCAAGTAAACACAAAAGTTTATAAAGTACTGGCATGTATACCCTGGCTGACATGAAATGGGCATATGGGCAGGTGTGTCAAGTCTATGCTTTCCAAGGCTCCTGGACACTGACCTTTGGGGAAAAGACTATTGCCAAGTAAATTCTTTTTTGCTTTATCTCAAACATCTTCTACCTTTTTCCTCTTCCCTACAAGTTAGCCTATGACTGAGTTCCCAGCACATCCTGTGTGAGAACACATTGATATTTATATCAGATGCCCTTTATAAAGTCACAATTAGGCTTATCGCTTTAATGTTGTACTACACTTTGTTTTAAAACAGCCTCCTTCAAAAAAAAAAAAAAATCAATGAATCCAGAAGCTGTTTTTTTTAAATTAACAAATATACCCCCTAGCTAGACTGATAAAAGAGAGAAGGATCAAATAGACAATAAAAAATGATAAAGGAGATATCAACACTGATCCTACAGAAATACAAACTACCATCAGAAAATAATATAAACACCTCTATACAAATAAACTAGAAAATCTAGAAGAAATGGATAAACTCCTGGACACATACACCCTCCCAAGACTAAACCAGGAAGAAGTCGAATCCCTGAATAGACCAATAGCAAGTTCTGAAATTGAGGCACTAATAGCCTACCAACCAAAAAAATGCCCAGGAACAGATGGATTCACAGCTGAACTCTACCAGAGGTACAAAGAGGAGCTGATACGATACCTTCTGAAACTATTCCAAACAATAGAAAAAGAAGGCCTCCTCCTTAACTCATTTTGAGGCCAGCATCATCCTGATACCAAAACCTGGCAGAGATCTAACAAAAAACAAAGAAAATTTCGGGCCAATATCCCTGATGAATATCAGTGCAAAAATGTTCAATAAAATACTGACAAACCGAATCCAGCAGCACATTAAAAAGCCTGTCCACCACAATCAAGTCAGCTTCATGCCTGGGATGGAGGGCTGGTTCAACACACACAAATCAATAAACATAATCCACCACATAAACAAAACCAATAACAAAAACCACATGATTATCTCATTAGATGCAGAAAAGGCCTTTGATAAAATTCAACATCCCTTCTTGCTAAAAACTCTCAATAAACAAGGTATTCATGGAACACATCTCAAAATAATAACAGCTATATATGACAAACCCATAGCCAATATCATACTGAATGGGCAAAAACTGGAAGCATTTCCTTTGAAAACCGGCACAAGACAAGGATGCCCTCTCTCACCACTCCTATTAACATAGTACTGGAAGTTCTGGCCAAGGCAATCAGGAAACAGAAAGAAATAAAGCATATTCAAATAGGAAGAGAGGAAGTCATATTATCTCTGTTTGCAGATAACATGATTGTATATTTAGAAAAACCCATCGTCTCAGCCCAAAAACTCCTTAAGCTGATAAGCAACTTGAGCAAAGTCTCAGGATACAAAATCAGTGTGCAAAAATCACAAGATTCCTATACACCAACAATAGACAAGCAGAGAACCAAATCATGAGTGAACTCACATTCACAATTGCAACAAAAAGAATAAAATACCTAGGAATACAACTTACAAGAGATGCGAAGTGCCTTTTTAAGAAGAACTACAAACAACTACTCAAGGAAATAAGAGAGGACATAAACAAATGGAAAAACATTCCATGTTCATGGATAAGAAGAATCAGGATCATGAAAATGGCCATATAGCCCAAAGAAATTTATAGATTTAATGCTATTCCCATCAAGCTACCATTGACTTTATTTGCAGAATTGGAAAAAACTACTTTAAATTTCATATGGAGCCAAAAAAGAGCCTGTATAGCCAAGATAATCCTAAGCAAAAAAGAACAATGCTGGAGGCATCATGCTACCTGATTTCAAACTATACTACAAGGCTACAGTAACCAAAACAGCATGGTACTGGTACCAAAACAGATATATAGACCAATGGAACAGAACAGAGACCTCAGAAATAACACCACACATCTACAACCATCTGATCTTTGACAGCGCGACAAAAACTAGCAATGGGGAAAAGATTCCCTATTTAATAAATGGTTCTGGGAAAACTGGCTAGCCACATGAGGAAAACTGAAACTGGACCCCTTCCTTACACTTTATACAAAAATTAACTCAAGATGGATTAAATACTTAAATGTAAAACCCAAAACCATAAGATTCCTAGAAGAAAACCTAGGCAATACCATTCAGGACATAGGAATGGACAACAGCTTCATGACTAAAACACCAAAAGCAATGGCAACAAAAGCCAAAGTTGACAAATGGGATCTAATTAAACTAAACAGCTTCTGCACAGCAAAAGAAACTATCATCAGATTGAATAGGCAACATACAGAATGGGAGAAAATTTTTGCAATCTACCCATCTGAAAAAGGTCTAATATCCAGAACGTACAAAGAACTTAAATAAATTTACAAGAAAAAAAAATAAATGACCTCATCAAAAAGTGGGTGAAGGATATGAACAGACACTTCTCCAAAGAAGACATTTATGCAGCCAACGAACATATGAAAAAAAGCTTATCATTAGTCAGTAGAGAAATGCAATCAAAACCACGAGATACCATCTCATGCCAGTTACAATAGTGACTATTAAAAAGTCAGGAAACAACAGATGCTGGTGAGGCTGCAGAGAAATAGGAACACTTTTACGCTGTTGGTGGGAGTGCAAATTAGTTCAGCCATTGTGGAAGACAGTGTGGCGATTCCTCAAGGATCTAGAACCAGAAATACCATTTGACCCAATAATCCCATTATCCTCTGGGTACCAATGATGGACTAGATAAAGAAAATGAGGCACATATACACCATGGAATACTATGCAGCCATAAAAAAGAATGAGTTTATGTCCTTTGCAGAGACATGGATGTAGCCGGAAACCATCATTCTCAGAAAAATAACACAGAACAGAAAAACCAAACACCGCATGTTCTCACTCATAAGTAGGAGTTGATGAGGACACATGAACGCAGGCAGGGGTACACCACACACCGGGGCCTGTTGGCAGAGGTCGGGGGTGGGGTTGGGCAGCAAGAGGAAGGAGAGCATTAGGACAAATATCTAATGCATGCAAGGCTTAAAACCTAGATGACAAGTTGATAGGTACAGCAAACCACCATGGCACACGTATACCTGTGGAACAAATTTGCACATTCTGCACATGTATCCCAGAACTTAACGTAAAATAAAAACAAAAAAATAAAAGAAATAAAAGTCTCCCTGATTTGCTATCAGAGTTCAGTTTTTTAGCTCTTTTGCTACCATTTATTTCTGAATAAAATAAAGTGTAAGAATGATTTAATATTTTTCTGTGCCCTTACACACACATGCACACATACTTACAAACACATACATATATATGTATATAAATTTTAAGTGGAAAAGTTACATAAGTACAGGATTTTTTTGGTTGTTACTTTTCTTTCAACCTGAGTATGACTAATTTTGACTTCCTCCATCTGCTTTAGTTTACCCATGTCAGCAATCCAAGATAGATTATTAAAAATATATATTTAGCTGTGTCTAAGCTTCTGATTAATATGTATTGAAATTTAGATCTCAATTTATATTTTTGAATGTCTATCTTAGTTCTTTTCAAATCTGCCTGTTAATTTTTTATAATATCTTATCCTTTAGCCATATGTTTTATTAACTTATTTTACCACTAAACATACTAAAATACATATTTAATAGTCTCTATCAAAGCAAATGCCCTTAATCAGGTTGTTTTGATAGATTGCTAACTTTAATTTATTTGTGAGACAGAACTATAGAGAATTTCCCTTAATTTATGGTGTAAATAGAGTATATATGACCTCTCTATAAGCATGTATATATATAAACATCTCTATAGGTATACACATGTACACACACATATACATATATATAAAATATCATACAGCATTTTCTATACTTTTTTTGGAGGTTAATTTCAGCATATACATTTGGTAATACTGAGAGAAATGAGAGTCCAAATTTTATTTTTCAACAGTTTCCTCCTCTTCTCCATAATTCACCAACTAATGCCATCATACAGAAATTTGTATACTGTTTCATTTATTAATATAAAACAAATAGACAAGCAAATGACCATGGAGTAAGCAACAGGCCCTATTGGAGACTGAGTAGACAGAGTCTATTACACAACTTTATGACATGTCAAATACAGGCCCACGTGAGTGGAGTAGGCAGTACCTAATTTCTAAAATCTTAAAAGACAGGCTACTATTTATGGGACATACAGACACTAACATAATATTTAAAATAAGAAAGATATTTGATTTAATTCAAATGAAACTATTTGTATTCATCCATGGCTGACCTGATACTTTTCAGAACAAATAAAGTTATAGTGTCCTTGATATGGTGGATCTTTATAAAATAGTAGTATATAATACAGCACTTGTTTTATGGTATTATAATAATTTGGTTAATACTAATTATATGCTCTAAATTTAATCTGCTTAGAATTATATTTCTGAAAATAAGATCTTAAGTTACATTTTCTGCTTTTTCAAACTTATAGTAGTTTCCTATGTAGTAGGAATCAATGATCATTAAAAAGTTTTATACTAATTATATTATGTGGATTTGATGTGATATCACACATAACATGTAGCTAGAACAGATGTCTCTGTAGTACTTTTATATATTCCTTTCAGTTAAATGTAGTCTCAAGCAGAAATAAAAAGTAGAAAATTTAAATAACACTCTTTGAACAATCCAAAACAACAATAACAATTGTCTCTAATCTTTGGTTTTTCATGACTTGAATGACTTTCAGGCTTACAAATAAGTCAGTCAAGACTTCATTTCATTTTCTATTCTCGTCAGCTAAGAACTGAAATAATTCTAGTTGTTAAATTATGGAATTTATTTTAAATAATTTTTATTTTCCAATCAAATTTATACAAGTTTATGCCACCAGTAAATCTTGGTATCCCTAGAAAAGCCTTCATCATCTGAGTAGAAAATATTTTCTTTAATGAGCTTAGTTGAGTACACAGTTCTGCCCAATTAAAAATTCTTGTAAGTGACTAATTTCTACATAAAATGGGTGTTTATTTTTTTTCCCAGTGCCAAGCACAGTTTGTGGAGGCATAAGACACTCAATGAATATTTGTTTAATGAAAATATAAAAAGAAACATTCAAACCTTGTCCACTCATACCTTCAAACACTCTTCTTGTAGCTTTCATAATATCATAGGTTTTTTCCTCTTCCCTCACTGGCTCTTTCAATCCCACTTGAAATACTATGCAATTTTAGCTATTCAAGCACACTATATTTATGTACGTTAGCACAATTGAGTCGATGATATAAATCAGTATTTTTAAAATTGTATTCTACATAACAGTAAGATTTCTCACAAGTGTGTTTGGGGGTTCCAAGGAACTGAGACAGAAAACTCTGGACTCTACAACTCTAATATCTCTTAATTTGGCTTACTTTATTTGTGATTGTGATGTCCTATTTTAGGGTATAATGCATGTATAACTCAAGCCCTCTTTCTAGGTTTAGAACTCACATATGATGTGTCCAGATCAGCAGAAGGTCCCTCTGTCTCTTGGTTGTATATACTTCCCCAGAACAAAAGCATGCTATCAGAAAGACTGCTGCTCAGCACACCCCAGTGTCTGCCACTTCACTAGCACAGGTTAGTTAAACTCCGTTCTGAATTCAGTACTTGGCTTTTCTTTCCCTCCTTCTTCGTATTGCTAGTATGAGGAATGACGCCTAGGAAAAGGACTTTGTCCTTCCCTATCGTCTCCATTCGCGCTGTGCCAATTCATCCCAATGAGTTCCAAAAACCAGTTCAGAGAAAAGAACCTTGTAGTCATAATACCTTTACACTCCAGTTAGTTATGCAAATTTGTCTACCCCCTCAGGCACAAATCTCAAGTTTGAAATACCAAAGTTCCCAAAGAGTGAGGGAAGAAAAGAGAAAGAGTGGGAGAATGGGAAAACATGGAGGAAAGGAGGGATTGCAGGTCCGCAATATTAGATGTTTGTGTGTTTAGCCATTATGCTACATATTGCTTTATTAGAACAAAGTGTTTTTCACTGAAAACTTTGAAAATGAATACTCCAAATTCACTACCATCAAATCTGGTGAGTTTATTCTCACATAATAACAATATCCACTTTAGAGTTATGCCTATTTAACTGTACTCAAACTGTTTAATCATTTTTGTATATTCAACTTAAAAAACATATATCCTCCCTGTAAAACACGGAAAAATATAGATGCATATATAAAAAGAAAAGAAAAATGTGTGTATACCTACCACCAAAGTAAAGAGTAATTTTATAATAGATTATTTCACCATAAAATTAGGATGCAACTTTTTCACTTTTTATTTCCCTGTTATAAAAAGATTCTTAAATAAAAGTAAAAAGTTTTGTATTTTATTCCATGTGTAACCAGATTTTAGTCTGTCTTTCAAATTTGTGATAGTCATTCATACTCTCAAATATGTTTGTTTATGTGTGATGATTACCTAAAGACTTAACCCTTGAAGAGGAATTGATAGACAAAATAGTATACCATACATATAATCTAAGGTTCTTGCTACTGTAAGAGAAAAAATTTTCTGAAGCCCTCATAAGAGAGTTAAATAAACTTTGGATTTAAAGTATCAGTTTTCTTCATAAACACAAGAACACAGAATGTACTTTTTTGGGACTTACATAAAATACCAATTTTCTTAATAACTCAAAATTTATAAAAGGTAAACTTTTGAACCTTGCTCACTCATTATTTATCTGTTTGTAAAGACTAAAAACCGAATCTCTGCCTTGTGCATACCACTTTGGTAAATTTATTTCTAGAATTGCAACTGGTATATAATTTGGGCTAAATTTGCCCAATTTTGCCTTCGTAAAAAATGCATTCTTTCCCTTTAATGATCTGCTACAACACTCTTGCTCCCCCAAATACAAAAACAATTTCAGAAAAAAAAACTTTCTGGAGAAAATGCTTAGGACAGAAATTTTATACAATTTTTACTTAGGAACCAAAAATATGAGGAATGCAGACTTTCTAACTTATGGCAGAATGGAAAGTTTGGAATTCAGATTACTGTACCTCCTCATTGAATAAGAAAGAGGGACATCCATCTTGAGAGCTGTCAGTCTAAGTACTTTCCCAAACATGACATTCACTTTTTTAAATGAACAAAAGTGTTGAAATAGCTCCATCGAGTAATATGCATATGAGTTTCTGCATTATAACTCACTGAAATAGAGGTTTTGATTAATTGCTTTCTATGTTAGCAGCTGTCTTTGCTATTAGACACTGTTTGGTTTCCTGAGTCACAGTGAACAGGTTAAAATAATATCTACCAGACTAAAGATCTAAGTCCCCAAACAAGAATAAACTACATAATAGATGAACAAATCATACAATAACTCAGGCTGCAAATTCAAGAAGCTCAATTTGGCATACTGGAGTTATGTAGTTTTCATAGTGATTTTCAGCTCAGTTTTAAACTCTCAAGGTGCTCTGAAGGAAAACTACTGCAATGCTTGGAATATCTTTAGCTTAGCTTTCTGAATGCAGAACAAAAATTTCCTTTCTGAAAAATTATTTTTATCAGATAGTGAATATGCTGTAATTTCCACAGTCTTAACAAAAGCCCTCTTCCTCTATACCACTTCCCTCTTCCAATGGCTGTTCATTTTTTTCTGCTCCCCTTCATAACAAAATTCCTTGACGTTGCTGTCCCTACAGTTTATCTCTGTGTTCTCTCCACCCAGCCTCTTGAAGCATTACAAAGAGGCTTTCACCCGCATTGCTCTATTGAAACTTATCTTGCTAAGGTTGCCAAAGGCTTCAACATTACAAAACCCTAGAGTCAACTCTTAATTGTCATCATACCTCTCTGTTGGCAGCATTTAGTTGATCTGCATTCCTTCTTGGCTTTCCTCAACATCTGAGTTGTCTGCCTATTGAAATCACTCTTTCTCTGTTCCTTTGCTCATTATTCCTTATCATCCAACCTAAAAGTGTTGGAGGACTCAGGATATACCTTTTGGAACTCCTCTCCCTTAGTGACTTCATTTAGTCTTATGGTCATCTAAATAATTACAACTCCCAAAGATATATACAGTCTGGAATGTTCCCCTGAACCTCAAATTCATGTAATCAACTGCCTAGTCAACAGCCTCTTATATTAGAGGTCTGCAGACATTCCAAAATTGATATTGCCAAGGAGAACTTCTAATCTTCCTCACCATTGCCCAAACCTATTCCTCTCCATATTGGAAAATGGCATGTTGTCCCAGTTACTCAGATAAGTATACATAAAAAAAGAAAAACCCCGAGAAACATACAAAAAATTCCCTAAAACATTCTTAGTACCATCCATTCTTTGATATGCTACATCCCACCCATCAGCAAATGCCAATTGGTCCAAACAACTATCATCTTTGGTGTGGAGAAACAGCTTCCTACCCAGTCTTTTGCTTTCACTTTTGTCCTCAGAGAATAGCCAAAGTGATCTTTTAAAAAGCTTGTATAAAAAAAAAAAAAAAAACCCGCCAATGTTTCTCATCTCAAAGAAAAAAAAAATCCTAAGTTCAGTACAAATTTCTTCAAGAACTTAGCCTTCCTCTTTTCTATGTTGGTTCTTTGATTTCACCTCTGCCAGTGGCCTCCTGTCTCACTTCACTGGAACCAAACAGATCTTTTTACTACCTGAAAAAGTTTAGAAATGTTTGTCTATTTTTGTTGTTGTTTGCTACCATATGCCTAGCTGTCAGAATAATGAGTGTGATAAAGTTGGTAGCAAATATTTACTGAGTTAAGAATGAAAAAAAACTGTTTGAATGAACAGAAAAATAAATCCAATTTCATAATAAATCTCTGCTTTAGTAGTGGCAAGTGTCAGGCCTCTGAGCCCATGCTAAGTCATCATAACCCCTGTGACCTGCATGTATACATCCAGAGGGCTTGGAGCAACTGAAGAACCACAAAATATGACATTCCACCATTGTGATTTGTTCCTACCCCACCCCAACTAATCAATCGACCTTGTGACATTCCCCCGCTCCCCACCTTACGCCTTGTGACCCCCACCCCTGCCCACAAGACGTAACCACCTTTAACTGTAATTTTCCGCTACCTACCCAAATCCTATAAAACTGCCCCACCCCATCTCCCTTTGCTTACTCTCTTTTCAGACTCAGCCCACTTGAACCCAAGTGAAATAAACATCCTTGTTGCTCACACAAAGCTTGTTGGTGGACTCTCTTCACACGGACATGCCGGACAGCAAGTTTTTTTCAGATACAGATAACATAAATTTCCTAAAAAAAGTTATGTCTTTAAATAGAAGAAAATGCCAACATCATTTACATAACAATTTAAAAGCTAGATTTTATCCTATTAACCTAAATAGCTATGGCTATCTGTATAATTCTAAGAAAATGAATGTTTGTTCTAGTTGTCTGTACATTTCAGACAATATGCTGGAAAAAAAGGTAACATATAGACACTTGTTCAAATTACCTGCCTTGTATGTACAGACTATCAAAGACTATTTTGGCTAAAATATCCTAATTTGCATGTTCTATCAATCCTAGTATAACAGCTAAACTAGGGGAATTGTGCTCCATTGGATTTAAGTTGCTTAGATCAAACTCATTGTGGTCCACAAAATGCAATGAGATTTTGAGGCTAATTTGTGCATTACAAAAAGTTAAAATGTATAATTTCAGTGAACACTTATTACATTTTCTGTTTATTTTCAATTTAAATGGCTTTTGTTTATATCTTCTCACCTTCTGATATATTTCCACTTATTTAAATGAAACATTCAACTATTTATCACACCATTTCTTTCCATTGTCGCAAACAACAAAATTCTCATATCATAGTAGTTTATTCCTTCAGCAGGAAGCCTTGTAGGTAAACACAACTTTCTATGGGAATAAAGGAAAAGCATTCTCATATTTTCTCACATAAACAATAGAATGGTGTGGTAGATAAGAGAAAGTTTGTATTTAGGCTTAACCACATTTCTGTGTTGATTATGCTAAGTCAAGTCAAATAGTGAGTGAAGCTAACCCAAGGGTAGTCCAATACTTAGTTTTTTTTTCTGGTAGCCCCAAGAAGCCAAAGGTGCCTAGATAATATATTCCAGTATAGAGACCTCTTTTAGGTCTACTTTTCCTATCCCAGTGCTTTATGACCTAGAAAATAATGACTGTAATATTCCCTAAGGCCCTTTAACAAAGTAAACATTGTTTACCCACGTGGCTCTTAAGATTCTGCCCTCCCTAACTCACCTACCATCTCTGATCACCTTCAGAAGCTATTTTCAGTTAGCCTTTAACCTGTTTGGCCAGTACCAAAAATTACCATAGACAGTTATGGCTTAGTATCTTTGTTATATGATCAATTATAGAGATAACACATTTCAAAATGAGGCAGAATTGATTGTTGCTGGCAAGTTACATCTGTAAACGTGTGTGTCTATCAATCTCAAGATTTTACTTTTTATATCAAATGAAGTTTGGTGGTGTATGGTAAACTGATTAACAAGGTTGTAAGTAAAAACACTGAATAATTTATTCAATTATGACCAGGATTATGTTTTTTAACTTTTATTTATAAAAAGGCAGTAATAATACCTACTTTATAAGGTTGTTATAATTAAAACCAGCCCAATTGCCTCACAGAACTGATGTTTATGAGTTTGGTTTTTTTTTAATAAAAATAGCAGTGGACCCTCCCAATCTTAAAACTTGAGAAAGTTACATTTTGTCTAATCTGAGTTTCTTTCTCAGGAAGTCATCCATTAGGCTTCCCAGATAGTACCAAGGAACTGGAACTTACCAGACCATGGCATCTGGACAAAGAGAGGCCAGACTCCTCACCTGTCATGATTGCCCATGCCAGCACCTGCTTCTTGTTGACCAACTCCTCTTCCTTACTTCTCCCTAATTCCTGTTTTCCCACACAATTACATGTCTTGTTGCTATATAAACCTCTAATTCTAGTCAGTTGAGAAGATGGATTTGAAGCTGATCTGCCATCTTTTCAGCTGTAGCACCTGAAAGACCTAAAGTCTTTTTCTCTGGCAATACTCATTGCCTCAATGACTGGCTTTCTAAATGTTACCCCTGGCATTTTGGTAATATAATGTTCAAAAGGTTATACATATTTACATAGATACACAATACCTGGTACACTGTAGAAACTAAAAAGTCATCATATCTTTTAGGTGTAGTAACCACGAGTGAGCAGATCATAATTTCAATTATAAGAGCAGCTATAATTAAAGAACAGTTGTCCACTCACTGCATACCCAAATAAACAGGCCCAATATAAACATAATTGGTATCCTTCTACAACACACAAATATACTAAAATAATTGCAGTCAATGTAACTGACTAATTAGGGTAGACTGTTCATCGTAACTAATGAGTGCCTCGTTTTGTCAACTATGCTAGGTAGTAAATGTTTCCACATATGTTTATCATGGTTTTAGATACTGAGATTTTGCTACACAGTATAAAATATTTTAAGTTAAAAGTCTGGTAAGTATGTTATTATTCAGAAGCAAACGATGGCTGATTATGTTCAGGACACTCTCAGGGACATTAACCATCAATCAGGGCATAAAGCTAATGCTTGATATTAGAGGGCTGATCTCAACAAATTAGCCGATGATCCAGACTATCTTTAGCAATAATTAATACAGGGTTTAATAAGATGTATGACTCAGAAAATAAGCAAATTGGAATGTTAACACCATGGAAACTGCAATCTTATTCGAAACACGTTCATAATGTAAACAAGCAATATATGTTTCACCCTCATATGGCATATTGCTAGCTTCTGTGTAAGTGTAACTACAATTTATTTCAGACTGAGACATACATTCTCACTTTTCCCTAGCTTTTTGTCCTTTTCTTCTTCTTTTTTAAGTGTACATATTCCCTCCTCATGTGGCACAAATCAGAACTGACATCATTGATCTCCTGGTAACAGCCTTCTCTGGGCCTGAATTATTTCTTCTAACTTTACTTAACAGAAGAAAGGAGAAGAGAATGCCTCACAGTCCCCATTTTTGCTTCGTTGTGGCTAGGCTCACTTTCTGTCTTCTGGATTCTGTTCATTTGCATTCTCTCAGCAGTTCCTTGAGATGTCAGGGATTGCTTAAAATGCACAGAACAGAGACTTTGCTTCTGGCCACTCTTTCACATTCAAAACAAAGTATAAACACTATCCATTCTAAACATAGAAGAAAGAGCTAAGCTTTTCCAACACCTTGGAGTCATAAAGAAAAGAAAATAAGTGTTCTTTCCTGAGATTCTTACTCTGTTTGTAGATGTCTTACTTGATTTTTAAAGGAGATAAACCTGGATTGAATCAGCAGTAACATTTAGATGTCCTTTAGTTGGTTCACCCTTAACCATAAAGGATTGACACACCAGCCTTGGTTAGTGTTTCTTCATCACTGACCATTTTTAGCATATTGTACTAAGTTGTAAAATGTGAAAGTATGTATCTGGAAAAAAAATGTTTCTGGCATGATTGTTTTCTTAAGAGTTGTAAGCTGTATGTATGGAAATAACATGTAAGGAAAACATTATATTCAATTTAGTGTTCATGATTAGATATCCATTTTAGCTGAGACCAAATTTTAAAAATGATTAACATTACAAGGACATTCTACTATATTTTATGTTGAATTGAGAACAAAGATGCGTTTTGTCTTGACAGATCAGTCTTAGAGATCAAGGAAATAGTTTTAACTTTCCTTTTCATCCCATTCGATTAGTGTCACATGATACAGCAGTCCCTCCTTATCCACGAGGGATAGATCCCAAGATCCTCAGTGGATGCCTGAAACCTCAGATATTACCAAACCCTATAAATGCTATGTATTTTTCTATATATGTATGGCAGAATTTAATTTATAAATTAGGCACTGAAAGAGATTAATAACCAATAATAAAACAGAACAATTATAACAATATACAATAAGAAAAATTATGTGAATGTGCCTCCCTTTCTCAAAATATTTTATTGTACTCATCTATTTTTGGACCATATTTGACAGTAGGTAATTAAAATCAATAAAAGAAAAACTGCAGATAAGGGGGACTACCATATAGGATAATGTTCAAAATAAGTTCTTATTGAATGAATTAATGAATATATGAATAGCAAGCAAACCATATCAAATAAGCTATGTCACTTGCAATTAATAAGTCATTAGCAATAATAGTATTGTTAATTACAAGCATTATGTTACAAGTCATGTTTAATTATTTTTCACTTCACATATGGTACATGTCTGAGGTGTCATTGTTCCTCAGTAATGAAGAAACATACCGTTAAATAAATTGTCTAGGATAATTTGACATTAATATAAGCAAACAGAAAATTGGATTCTCACCTTATTCCATACACAAAAATAAATTCCCAATCCATTTAAAACATTCATGTAAACTCCAAAACTATAAAGATTTTAAATATGTTATGCCTGAGTGTAGTGGCTCATGCTTGTAACCCCAGCACTTTGGGAAGCCAAGGAAAGAGTATTGCTTGAGCCCAGGAGTTCTAGACCTGCATGGACAACATAGTGAGTAGTGAGACCCCCACCTCTACAAAATACAAAAAGATTAGCCAGGCGTGGTGGCGTACGCCCGTAATCTCAGCTACTTAATGAGGCTAAGGTGAGAGGATTACTTGAGCCCAGAAGGGCAAGGCTGCAGTGAGCCATGACTGTTTCACTGCACTCCAGCCTGGGGGACAGAGTGAGATCCCATCATTTATTCATTCATTTCTTTGAGTAAAGAAGTTGTCTCAAAACACAGAAAATGCTAACTCCATTTAAAATCTCTATTAATTTAAAGGCATTTTAAAGAAAAAACAATCAACACAAGAATGAAAGATATTAGTACATATTATTGACAAAGAAAAAAACTTCAGAATATGTTAAAAATTTCTACATATCAGAAAAACCAATAAAAAATAGGCAAGATATGTTTATAGATACTTTATGATGAGAACATATATAAAACAATCATAAATAACCAGGTAATGACAGTAAAAATCACAAATACATATATGACATTAGAAAAAATAGAAAATTGTAACATTAAATATAACTGATGATGCAGAACTCTTTCGCCCTCCTGGAAAGGGTGTAAATTGGAAGAGTTTAGCTTCATCTAATAAAGTTGAAGGTGTACATCTCTTACAACCTACAGAAACTCATGTACATGTATCCCAAAAATTATATCCAACAGTATGTGCGGCGGAATTTTTTTATAATAGTTAAAAATAGAATATCCCAATTGGTGATTTAAAATAGCATGGCTGAATACATTGCTGTATGTTTTTCCAATGAATTTTCAAAGAGAAATAGAAATAATACAATAAAAAGTGGATAAATCTTCAATATAATTTGAATTAAACATATTAAAAAGGTATGCACACAGTACGATTCCAATTATATATAGATTACAATAGAGAAAATTATATTATTTAGGGTTGTATTAAGAATTAATGAAATTTATTATGAAAGCAAGGAAATGTTTATCACAAAATCAGAACTGTAACTGGAATTAAATAATCAGCAATGGCAAGAAAGGAAAGGAAAATAGGCTTAGAGGGAAGCTGAAGGTTAGGTTGCCTCTGTTTTAGGTATTTATTTCAACAACACAGGACATTTCAATTAAATATTTAAAATAGTTATTTGCTCAAAATAGGAGCTAGATACCTAATATGAATAGATAAATTAAAGAACATGAAAACTAGTAAAGATAGAGAATCAAAGAACAAGTAAAAGAGAGTCTTTTAGTAACAATAGAGAATCAAAGAACAAGTAAAAGAGAGTCTTTCAAGATAAATTTTTATAAGAACTACAGAGAATTATGTGTTTAAGGGAGGAAATTATTAGCATTACTAGAAGGAAATTTACCAACCCACTTTATTCAGTCATATATAAATACATTCAACAAATAGAAAAATGACAAATCACCTACTCTGAGGATTTGGATTAGGAAGCCAGAGAGAAGATGGGTTTGAAACATTTTGGATGTAGAAATAATGGGGATTTGGTGATGATTTGATACATAGCAGGAAAGAAGGTGGTGGCAAGGATGATGCTTGGACTCTTTCTCTGGACCTCCCGGTGATTGCAGACCACTAACAGAGACAGAAATATCAGGGAAAGCAGATTTGGATAAAGAATGAGGGAGGAGAGAGAGTTATAAAAGTCATACAAAGGTTTATGTGGAATACCTGCAAAATTTGAAAAATATAGACATCATTGACACTGCTGTATATTTGTGTCTGGAGTTTTGTGGTGCGGGGGTGGGTTGTGTTTGTTTGTTTGTTTGTTTGTTTGAGACAGAGTCTCATTCTGTCACCCAGGCTGGAGTGCAGTGGCACAATCTTGGTTCACTGTAACCTCCGCCTCCCGGGTTCAAGCGATTCTCCTACCTCAGCCTCCTGAGTAGTTGGGACTACAGGTGCGCACCACCATGCCCAGCTATTTTTTGTATTTTTTTAGTACAGATAGGGTTTCACCATGTTGGTCAGGCTGGTCTCAAACTCCTGACCTCGTGATCCACCCACCTCAGCCTCCCAAAGTGCCGAGTTCTTAACAGAAGAATAGTCTGGCAATATGCATTGGGGGATTATCAATGTAGAAATGATATTCAAAATCATAAGAATAGATAAGATAATTGAGGGAAAGAGTTTACAGTTTGTCCTGAGAAGCCCCAATTTAGAAATGAGATTAAGGAGGAAGTTTTTTCAATGGAGACAAAGAGATGGAAACAAGAAAAGTGATTTCACTGAATAAAAAGAATGTTTCAGGAAGGAGAGAATAAGGGTAGTCGCCTGAAGACTTCTTTAAAGATTTGATATCTAAATTGTTACCAAAATGACAAGTGGGATTTGGAATGGCAGGTGTGATAGTGAATGGCATCCTCTGCTAAGGAAATCCTGAGAAGAGAGAGAAGTGAAAAAGCATGCAACCTGCCTCATAGATATTTGCTTGGATTTTGTATGGACGTTAGCTGAACTACAGGGAGGCATGTTACATGTTTGAGGTGAGAAAAACGGTAAAAAGATTTATATTTTGCATATTTAACTACTTTATGGTTTTTCTTCTACCTTTGTAACTACATGACTAGGAGAGAAGAGAGTCATAAATGTGAGTACAGAAGAAAGGAAGTTCTTGTAAGAGATAGCAAATTCTGGATGATACTGTACTGTAATCCCTATGCTTTCAAGATGAAGCTTAATGGATCTTAGGACCCAGACGTTGTAAGGACAAATTACTTCCAAGTGCAAAATAAATACCGATTGAATGACTGATCAATCTCCATCTTTCTGACTTATTAGAGACTGGCTCAGTGATGCTTGGAATTTCTCTAAGAGTTTCACAATCCATTTGAATAGACACTGGAACAGGGAAGTCTCTACTGATAAAATTTTCAGTAGTAATTTATTATTTGAAACAAATTTTCCACTTGGCTATAAAGAAAAATGTTCATAAAATTTCAGGCTATACCTAAAATCCTCAAATCATGTTGGTCAACTCCAGATCCAAATTGCTCCCCAAAATATTCATATTAAAATACATTTGTGATTTATCTTTATTTTCCAGATATTTTTTAGAGTTTAAAAGATTTCCACCACTCAAAAATAGTGACAAGAAAAGCATTTAGGAGTCACAGTACTGTGTAAAACATTTCACTTGTTTTTATGAAAATGTATTGGGAAAATTTCTCATTTATTACTCTCTGTACATTTATACAAGGCACACATAGTGCGGTTTGAGGATTAAATATTTGCCAGCTAGCTAGCAAATGATCGATAATGTTCCTGTCATTTTGGAAATTACTGAAGAATTATTACATTTATTGACAAAATTATTACATTATTACATGTAAGAATTATTACATTTATTGCTCTATGAATTTGCCGAACTATTTTCTTCAGTGCTTTGTACTGTCACTCTACATAGTTTTAAAGATTCTAAGTCTTGGCTCGATTTTTGTGGCAGGATACTAGAGAATACCCTTTAGATAATGCACCAGTTTTTTCTTTAATTTGGTTAAATATAAATAAAGTCCTAATATGGGAGGTATTTCCTTCTGTAAGCAAAATTCTATGTGCATTAAACTTTCCCTTGATTCATATTTCATCTGTTTACTCTAAAGTCAGAAAAGCTAAAAGCAGTAGCTGTTTCTAGTACCCAGTAGGTGGTGCTTTCAACCAGAGTTTGGTAGTCCTGACTCTGCTTCCACTCTGTATCCTCATCTTAATAACTGTCCAAAGATGCGTTGGAAACCAATTTGAATTGAAAAAACTGACTTGCCTTTTCATGTTAAATCTTCAAGTACATCAATGAAGAGTAAATACAACTAGCTTAAAAAATGGTAATGTCTTACTATACACTTTTAAAAATAAGTAAAATGCAAAACATGACTACAATCATAAAAATAGCATTCCTCTTTTCTTGTTTCTGTATTTTAACTTTTATTTCTTTTGCAGAACCAACAAAGCTACCAATCAGGAAGATAGGTTCTTTCTCATGGTGTTTACTGGTTCCTGATACATTTGTCAAAATTTTCTTCACAAAAGTAGCTTCTTGGTTATATGAAAAAAAAAAAGAAGCATAGAAATCTCCATCTACGTCCCGCTCTTAGTGGGAAATATGTTTCACTTTGCAAAGTTTTGTGAACCTCTGATAATGAGGAAAAGTCAAGTGGCACTTTCGATGTCAACTCGCCTAATGTATGCTTTTGATCTATGGGTAAACTGTACTTGCTGAGAGCCAAAGACTCGCCTCTGCTCGTGAGTCAAATCTCCCACTCTAATCACTTTTCCTTACGTTATTGTAGTATACAGGATTGATTATGTGTTTAAAACCCCATTGTGTGGGAGAGAGGACAGGAAGGAGTTGGTTGGGTTCAAATAATTTTGTATTGTGAGACCCACATATAGTTTAAATCAGAAAAACTAGGATGAAACAATGAGTAGCTTGGATTCACATTTGCTCTCTAGCCTCCTCTATCACTGATCGCTATTGGGGAGGACAATTATGGTTTTAACTCTTACTTGGTTATTTCATTCTGATAATATTGATGCTTAAAATTTTCCTGTAAATTTGAAGCTTACTGATTACACATATATTCATAAGCCAGCCAGTAATTCTCAAACTTAGCTCTGCCTGAAAAAGACCTGTGCTTTCTTCCCAACACCTGTAAATCCAATTTTACAATCCAGAATTGAAAAATTCTGAAGCTGCGGTTTCGATTTGCATTTCTCTGATGGCCAGTGATGATGAGCATTTTTTCATGTGTTTTTTGGCTGCATAAATGTCTTCTTTTGAGAAGTGTCTGTTCATGTCCTTTGCCCACTTTTTGATGGGGTTGTTTGTTTTTTTCTTGTAAATTTGTTGGAGTTCATTGTAGATTCTGGATATTAGCCCTTTGTCAGATGAGTAGGTTGCGAAAATTTTCTCCCATTTTGTAGGTTGTCTGTTCACTCTGATGGTAGTTTCTTTTGCTGTGCAGAAGCTCTTTAGTTTAATTAGATCCCATTTGTCAATTTTGGCTTTTGTTGCCATTGCTTTTGGAGTTTTAGACATGAAGTCCTTGCCCATGCCTATTCCTGAATGGTAAAGCCTAGGTTTTCTTCTAGGGTTTTTATGGTTTTAGGTCTAACGTTTAAGTCTTTAATCCATCTTGAATTGATTTTTGTATAAGGTGTAAGGAAGGGATCCAGTTTCAGCTTTCTACATATGGCTAGCCAGTTTTCCCTACCACCTTACACCAGTTAGAATGGCAATCATTAAAAAGTCAGGAAACAACAGGTGCTGGAGAGGATGTGGAGAAATAGGAACACTTTTACACTGTTGGTGGGACTGTAAACTAGTTCAACCATTGTGGAAGTCAGTGTGGCGATTCCTCAGGGATCTAGAACTAGAAATACCATTTGACCCAGCCATCTCATTACTGGGTATATACCCAAAGGACTATAAATCATGCTGCTATAAAGACACATGCACATGTATGTTTATTGCAGCACTATTCACAATAGCAAAGACTTGGAACCAACCCAAATGTCCAACAATGATAGACTGGATTAAGAAAATGTGGCACATATACACCATGGAATACTATGCAGCCATAAAAAAGGATGAGTTCATGTCCTTTGTAGGGACATGGATGAAATTGGAAATCATCATTCTCCATAAACTATTATAAGGACAAAAAACCAAACACTGCATATTCTCACTCATAGGTGGGAATTGAACAATGAGAACATATGGACACAGGAAGGGGAACATCACACTCTGGGGACTGTTGTGGGGTGGGGGGAGGGGGGAGGGATAGCATTGGGAGATATACCTAATGCTAGATGACGAGTTAGTGGGTGCAGCGCACCAGCATGGCACATGTATACTTATGTAACTAACCGGCACATTGTGCACATGTACCCTAAAACTTAAAGTATAATGATAATAAATAAATAAAAAAAGAAAAATTCTGAAGCTGCAACCTCAGAATTCTTATTCAGTGGATCTTATATGGAGCCAGATTCACAGGTAACTTTGAGAACAGTGTATGACACGTCCATCAGTGCCATTTTTCACAAATATTTTCAGATAACAGATTTATAAAATATGAATAAAACAACATAGTCCTCTCAAATATTTCTGGGAAGCATCTGAAACATAGGATCTCACTATACTTATTCACTTGTTCAAGCACAGGGAATTCCAGCATACTACTCCCCAAGTTATCAAAGTTTAAATATGTTAATCATATTATATTCTTCTCTTTAAATGAATACTGTCTATACTATTTGTACACTATTCACTAGAAACATGGTTGTTAGATGAAGAATGAGAGCGGTTTCATAGACCTAGTGAAGACTTTTGCCTTGCAAACTTGTATGTCTAAGTCACAGGATATATATATGCTGTATCTCTTTATTTCTGCCTTGTCCTTTTGTCATCCTTGCCACAACCTTCTTTCTGGCTACATATCAAATCATCACCAAATCCCCATTATTTCTACATCCAAAATGTTTCAAACTCGTCTTCAAGATTAGTCTTTTTATCTTTGAAGCTCAAAGAAGTGTTTTCTTGTGTTCTTGCATGTATGAGCATAGTGATATCAACCACATTTCATTACAAAATAAAATATTAAGAAGTTGAATTAACATGAATTACTACATAGCATACACATACTGAATAATAATTTTTTGTGTTGTTTACTTGATTTTAAAACTTCCGTGGCTTATTCAATATTAAATATTTCACATTATGACTATTGAGGAAAAGACAAAGACTAAAATAAAATGAGAGAAGCAAAACAAAATACAAGGTGAATATTCGGTTTCATTTTTGCAGCTTTATCTCTATGTTTCCAGATAATTTCTAAAAACTATTTCCTTTGAGTTTTTGGAGAGTTTTGTGGGGCCCCAACTAATGGCACCTTTTTTTTGCCCCAAAATGGCTAACCTGATTTATAAGATAATCAAGAAAGGATAAAAGTATGAAGGCACAAACGTTAACTTAAAAATTATGATTCAATCTCTGGACAAGCAGTCTTATGATACAAGACACCAGAATTAGTCACAATTACCTACCCGGTAATAAGCAGGACTGGAAAAGTGTAGGGTTTCCTGAGTGGGAAGCCTGCCCTTGTCATGAAGGCACAGACCAGAACATATGCGTACTGTGGGCAGAAGAAGGATAAATGCACCAGACTACAGATTTCAAATTTCTCTCTCTAATCTTACTAGTCAGGATAAGTCACTCCTCTACCCCGGGGGAGGAATGAGTAGAAGGCAGAGGGCGTCCCCCTTATAGTGCATTAGATAATTGTTCTTGTCATTTGTGTATAACAATATTTTAGTCAATCAGTCTAAGGAGACAAGCAGTTTATCAGAATACATTTTGGGACCTTTGCATAACATTTTATTTTCTTCGTTATAGAATATTAAACAAGTCAGGAGAAAAACTTGATTACATCATTCTGCACCCAAGGTTGATAACTTATATTCTATTTTCAGTCAAAAATTATAACCAGTTACATCATTCTAGAGAGCGTAAGAAATTCTGCAATAAGATTACATTTTGACAAGATGCTTCCATAATAAAATGTCAAAATAGAGATGCCCAAAATTTGAATGTAATTCCCTCTTCCATTATCAAATTCTCAGGTAAAATTAAAATTTGAATATTATATCTTCTCACAAATTAAATTTCTAAGACATTTAATTCCAAAGAAATTAAATCCAAAAGCAAAATATCTTGACCATGTGAGTAAAATCTCCAAAATTATTTCCCCATTGTTTTGTTATTCTTTTCAATCTCTGTTAGAAGTATTGCCAGTGACTGAATTTAGTTGGTATGCATTCAACAGTTCCAGTGTCTTCTATTTTATAGTGGACTGAGTATACATTTTTAAGGTTCTAAAATTATATTATTTTAGTACCAAGCCTTGACTTCACTTTTAAGGATTTTTTTCCCCTTTGTTCTTTAAATCTGTATTTCTTTGACAATCCACTTCTAACAGATAACAGCATCATCTACACAAATGTATAAAGAAAATATATCTGGCTTTTTTCTTTATTTACCCCGACAACCATTCATTATCCAATACCTGCAACTGTACTAACTCCTCGCGCCTGATCAAGGACAGATTATTGTGCCTCTTTCACTCTTTATATCCAATCAGTATCTTAACTTCAACTATTTCTCAAATCTCCAGGGCTATATCCGTTAGTTCATACTATAATTATCCCTCATTTGGATTACTGTGAGAGTAACCCTTTCTTTCAGAACAGATAAAATGCTCTATGTCTTTCCAAGGCACCATTCTTTACCTTGGGTTATAAAACATCCAGTCTCTTACTCAAGCACTTCGAAATACATGGAAATGTATCTATTTATTTTCCAACTTCTTCTGCACAGGGAAACACAAAAGAAAATGGGAATATGCAGACAAATTTAATTAGCTGTATTCCTTATCTATGCTTTCTTTGCTATTTGCCCATTACAGTATAAATAACATGCCCATTTTCTTCTGTGTGATAATATTCGCAGCAGAAAATACAGTATCTTAAGTGTAATTTTCTTAATAACAAAATAAATCATGATTTTTGCTCAGAGTAAAATATTGTACTCAATATTTGTTAAGTTGCAGAGATTAGCAATTTGAAAATCATGCTTTATCTGTCTTAGCAGAATGGTCACAAATATGATGAGGCAGCCAGAAGCCAACAGTTCTCATTGGCTATCTGAGCAGGTCTCTTAAGTGTGGTCTGGTTCCAGTTAACTAAATCTGGATATCAGGATGACATTGCAGAAATGATGGAGAGAAAAACTTAACTGACTTTACTTGTAGTAGCATGTTGCTATGGATGTTTCTTAGCTGTTAGAGAATCATTTCCAGGACCCAGTGGAACTGCTTTGTCTTGATAATTCTCTTGGAGTCTTTTTGCTTAGTCATTACAATCTTTGAGTTTCTTGAAAATGCAGTCCAGTGTTTAAGGAAATGTTAGGACAACTTATAACCATTTAGGTACAAATTTGTACCCAAAAGAATCCTGAAAATATCAGATTAATTGTTACAAGATTCAGCCCACATTGACTAAAGCAGAGGGAAAAAATCAATTAACCAAAAAGTTATATAGGTGTAGTTCTTGTGTGGGGCATTATTGTTTAGATAATAAATATTTTCAAGACGCTTCCCCTTCCAGCTCTCATTTCTCCTTTCTACTCTGTTAGGTCCAGGTTCAGACACATTTTCCCCCATGTAGGCCCTCTCATCAACTGACAGCACTAATAGAAGGAAATGGTTTATTTTACATTAGTTGCAAAAGAATTTGAGAATTAAATCTCATTATCTTTCCTGGATCTTATTCCACTCTTTGAATCTTTTACCGTGGTCCTAGAATGGAAGAATGGTACACTCTTATTGGTGATCCCTGAGACACGTAAGCTGCCTCCACACGTCAGGAGGTATGAAGTGGAATCAACCCTGTCTAATTACAATGGATTCCTTTTCTAATTTGGAGAAGTTATTTCTCAGTGGAATTGAATTTTATTTACAAGAGTGAAAGAAAATAGATACAGAGCAGCTAAACAAGAAACTAATGTATTTTCCACATAGAACTGATGGCAGCAGTGTCCCCTCTGGAGAGGCTGCTGCAAAGATGCCAGCTGCAGCAGAGGAGGTATGGCCAAAGTTGCCTACTCCACGGAACTGTCGGAAGCTGGCAACAGGTGGAAGCCCCACCACCTTCTGAGTTGGAAGGGTGGGAGGCCCACTCTCCTGGACGCAGCTGCAGCCACCCAGCTGTGGCGGTGGATCTGGGGATTCCTTTGTTCTTAGGGGCCCGGGACGCATCCCGTCTCCTCACAGCTTTGGAAATGTCTGCCCCCGCTACCCAGCATCTCCCCACTCCTGGCACCTGTTCAGATTTCTAAGTAAAGTTGAGGCTGAGCTTGGGTGCTGTCATGACCTGGCCAGGAGTGCGCAAACTCGGGGCAGTGCTGACATGCCAACCTCCTGCCACCTCGGCCCCCTCCGGACTTTGTGCACCAATAAGCACGGGGGGGAGGCCAGAGGCTGAAGTGGGGCTGAGGGCAGCTTGGTGCAGGCCTGTAGGCACCCCTCGGCATGAAAAGCCTGGGCATCATGGACAGTCAGTTGATGGTTCCTGGGCAGAAAGGGGCGGGTCCCCAGTGAAGCCCTACCTTCGGGCCTGGGACAGCCTGAAGCCTAGAAACCCAGGATGCCAGTTCTGTGGCTGGGGATGAGAACTTATTTCCCAGGCGCCCACGGCCTTCCGTGGACCAATCAGCGCTCACTCTGCCCCTTACTTGCCACGTTTAGAGCAAGAGAGAGATAATAGGAGAGAAAAGAGATGGAGAGAAGAGTTTTGGCCCCTCAGTGAGACCAGACCTAGGAGCTCCCTGAGCCAGGGCTGTGACACCCTCTTTGGAGCTCTTCAGTTCCTGTTGTCTCCAAGCTTCCAGGAGCCACTTCATTCCCCAGTGCCAGCAGAGGAAGCCGCTTGTAGTACACCTGTTCCAGCCGCAGCAGCCTCGCAGGGAGCCAGCACCTAGAGCAGCCTGCCCCACCACAGCCAGTGTGTCTGAGGAAACTGAGAGGCCAGACACTGCGCTCGCTCAGTCATGCACCTTTGCATCTCTGCACCTCGCTCAGCCTTGGCAGACATGGGATCCAGGCCAGTAACCTGAGCTGAGCGTAGTCTGCCAGGCAGAGTGGACGGAACAAGCCCTGCAGGTCCAAGCAAAACTGGGGCAAAGGCGCCACCAGCAAAAAAGGTTTCTAGCTGGTGAAGCAACACTCCAAGGGTCCTGTGACAGAACAATTTTATGCTTATGATTTCATACTCTAAGGGAGAAATAAAAAATTACTAGAAAGGCAGTTTTTACTCCCTAACTCCTAAGGGAGTTTCTGCCTCCCTTTTTATGTGCTGAACTCAGTGTCTTCTGTGTGGTTCTCCTGATGTGTTTTCTCTCCTTCTCTACAATTCTTCTACCTTTGGAGGCCTGTGAGAATAGCATGAATGGGCTGCCTCACCTGCTGGCTTCAGTGAGCTTCTGCCATTGGGAATTGTCAGAAATGAGGGAAGAAATCGGGGGTAAAATGTTATGTCCCTAAGTTCCTCCCTGTTGAGCTGCTTTATGCTCTGAAGATCTCAATTTTTCACAAAATGGCTTTATGTTCCACTAACTTCTCCTTCCTATTATCATTAAAACTTAGAAGATGATGTCACTTCAGTCTTCCAAGAAGTATGTGCCAAAATGGAATTAGACATGTGATATGGTTTGGCTGTGTCCCCATCCAAATCTCATCTTGAATTATAGTTCCCATAAACCAGATGTGTCATGGGAGGGACCCAGTGGGAGGTAATTGAATCATGGGCATGGTTACCTCCATGCTGTTTTTGTGATAGTGAGTGAGTTCTCATGAGATCTGATAGTTTTATAAGGGCTTTCCCCCGCTTTCATCTGCACTTCTCCTTGTTGCCACCATGTGATGAAGGACATGTTTGCTTCCCCTTTCACCGTGATTGTAAGTTTCCAGAGGCCTCCCCAGCCATGCTGAATTGTGAGCCAATTAAACCTCTTTCCTTTAAAAATTACCCAGTCTCAGACTGTTCTTTCTTAGCAGAATGAGAACAGACTAATATGCTAAATTGGTACCAGGGAGTGAGGCACTGCTGTAAAGATACCAAAAAGTATGAAAGTCACTTTGGAACTGGGAAACAGGCAAAGGTTGGAACAGTTTGGAGGGTTCAGAAGAAGACAGGAAAATTTGGGAAACTTCTGAACTTCCTAGAGACTTGGTGAGCTAATAATAAATATAAATATGGGAATGTTTGGAACTTAGTAGAGACTTGTTGAATGGCTTTGACCAAAATGCTGATAGTGATATGGACAATGAAGTCCAGGTTGAGGTGGTCTCAGAAGGAGATGAGAAACTTGTTGGGAACTGGAGTAAAGGTGATTCTTTCTTTAGCAAAGAGACTGGCAGCCTTTTGCCCCTGCCCTAGAGATCTATGGAACTTTGAACTTGAGAGAGATGATTTAGAGTATCTGGCAGAAGAAATTTTGAAGTGGCAAAGCATTCAAGAAGAAATCAAGCATAAAAGTTTGGAAAATTTTCAGCCTGACCATGTGGTAGGAAATAAGAGCTCATTTTCTGGGGTGAAATTCAAGCCAGCTGCAGAAATTTGCATAAGTAATCAGAAGCAGAATGTTAATTACCAAGATACTGGGGAATGTGTCTTCAGGAGATGTCAGAGACCTTTACACCAGCCTCTCCCATCACAGGCCCAGAGGCCTAAGATGGAAAAATGGTCTCCTGGGCCAGATTCAGAACCCCCTTGCTGTGTGTAGCCTCAGGACTGTGTCCCAGCCACTCCAGCCATGGCTAAAAAGGGCCAAGGTACAGCTTGGGCTATGGCTTCAGAAAGTGCAAGCCCAGGCCTTGGCAGCTCCACATGGTATTGGTCCTTCAGGTGTGCAGAAGACAAGAATTGAGGTTGCAGATTTCAGAGGACATATGAAAACACCTGGATGTCCAGGCAGAAGTTTGCTACAGGGGCGGAGCCCTCATGGAGAATCTCTGCTAGGGCAGTGCAAAAGGAAAATGTGGGGTTGGGGCCTCCACACAGTCTTCAGTGGGGCAGTGCCTAGTGGAGCCATGAGAAGAGGGCCACTGTCCTCCAGACCTCAGAATGGTAGACCTACTGACAGCTTGCACTGGATGCCTGGAAAAGCTGTAGACACTCAATGCCAGCCCATGAAATCAGCCCAGTGTGCGGCTATGCCCTGAAGAGCCACAGGAGTGGAGCTGTTGAAGGCCATGGGAGCCCCCACCTCTTGCATCAGTATTACCTGGATATGAGACATGGAGTCAAAGGAGATCATTTTGGAACTTTAAGGTTTAATGACTGCCCTATTGGATTTCAGACATGCCTGGGGCCTGTGGCCCCTCTTTTTTGGCCAGTTTCCCCCATTTGGAATGTGTGTGTTTACCCCATGCCTGTACCTCCATTTTATCTAGGAAGTAACTAAGTTGCTTTTGATTTTCCAGGCTCATAGGCAGAATGGACTTGCCTTGTCTCAGATAAGACTTTGAACTTGGACTTTTGAGCTAATGCTGGAATGAGTTAAGACTTTGGGGGACTGTTGGGAAGACGTAATTGTGTTTTGAAATGTGAGGACATGAGATTTGGGAGGGGCCAGGGGTGGAATAATATGGTTTAGCTCTATGACCCCACCCAAATCTCGTCTTGAATTGTTGTTCCCATAATCCCCACATGTCATGGAAGTGATTCAGCAGGAGGTAGTTGAATCATGAGGGTGGTTACCTCCATTCTGTTCTTGTGATAGTGAGTTCTCCAAGTTCTGATGGTTTTATAAGGAGCTTTACCCCCAACTTTGCTATGTACCTCTCCTTGCTGCTGCCATGTGAAGAAGGATGTGTTTTTTTCCCCTTCTGCCATGATTGTAAGTTTCTTGAGGCCTCCTGAGTCAGGCTGACCTGTGAGTCAATTAAATCTCTTTTCTTTATAAATTATCCAGTCTTGGGTAGTTGTAGATTAGCAGCATGAGAGTGGACTAACACAACATGCAAGAGATTTAAAGGGGGTGATTTCTATAAAGGATAAGTCAATCAGGGGAACTCAGGATATGATGTAGGTCTGATACCTGTGCAAGGACAAGGGAAAGAAAGGAGGATGGGTAGGACGAGTTTCAAATTAAAGCACAATTCTTAGAAAAATTTAGCCACACTGGTAGAGAGTCTCCTAACCAAAATTTCCCATTAGAGGAGTCCCACACTTCATAACAATTGGTCAACACTTGTGCAGCTACCATGCTCAGACATTGGCTAGGGGCAGCCAAAGGGAAATGTGGCCTTGGTACAAAAAAATGTGGTATTGGATACAATAATATGAAGCTGGATCTGTCATTTTTTATGCTTCCTACAGTAGTTTCTTTTAAATGAGATCCAAAAGGTGCATTTCCATGGCAGCTAAAATACAGTATCATCCTCAGTGATTATACTCTACTATCTTTTGGGGTTTCACTAGAGCATGTGCACATATTTGTGTAAATATAATAGTTACCCTAACTTGAGAATATCATTTCTTTTTAGTAGAGAACTTGTGTATTACACAACCATCTGTATTCTTTATTTTTTTCTAAAAAGAACTCTAGAGTTGAATGGCTGCTTCAACCCAAAAATGTTGGTAAAATAAACAGTAATGATTTCAGAAATCATAAATTAGCAATTCACTGAAAACATTTTAAAGCTTTATTCAACTTTGATAAAAGCACAAAGACATATAAGCATGATGCAGCACTAAAAAAAGAATACTGTTGTTCTAAATGTGATCTCAAAACAGTGTACTGTTAAAAAGTTATTAGATCATTTTAAATGATTATACTGCATTAATGGATTTTATGCAAAAATCAAGAACCCTGTTATTAATGCAATGCAATGCCCTGATGAAAAATACTGAAATATTTATAAACATAAAATGAAAGTTGGGAACAGAAGAATGAGATCTGGATACCTGACAAAACTAAAATAAAAATAAAGGTGCACAAGTAAATATTGGGTTTCAATTTGTTGGGAGGGTATTGTATGAATTAATTCAAGTATTCAACAAATTTGTACTGGGTATCTACCATGTGCTATAAAATATCTAGAAACTGTGCTGGTAGCTGTATACACACACACATACACACACACACACACACAAAATCCTTAATGTCATGAAGCTTACATTCTCACGAACATAGGCAGAATGTAAATAACCATTTCATCCAAATACATAGAATTATTTCTAAGTTGTCTAATATCCTAGAAATCTATTTATCCAATTCAAGCAAGACATTGTATAGGTGAACAAAATAAAATGCAATCTCTTAAAGAGAGAAAAAAACACAGAACTGACATTTCCCAAACCCGAGCTTAAGAGAGAATACACAAACCAAACCAGAAGATTCTGGTTTTTTTTTTCCAGTTTTCCAGCCTTTAACTTTAACTCCCCAACATTATTCTCCAAAGATTAGTGATGAGGCAACACAAGCAAATGTGAATTTATTACATCCTGGTCTCTATTTCAAGTTGTTTTAAAGATTATCATACATTTTCTCTTTCTTTTATTCTTTGAGGAAAAAATAGCATTCCTTTAAGGGTACTTACTCCTTTTAAGAGCTTGGAGCCTACCCCTTCACATGTGTTCTTTAAAATTTCTCACGTAATTCTCCACTATTCTCTCATTATCTTTGTCTCCCTGACCCCCACCCCTGCCTCAGAATCAACACTGCTATGGTAAACTGTTACACGTTTTTCTAAAACTCTCACCAATATTCGAATAAATTAAGTAGATATGATTTAGTAGAGTCTATAAGGATTCTCAAACACAAGATAAATGATTAGGACCCTGCAATTTTTCAGTATCAGAAGAAGGGCAATGCTCTGTTAGCTTATCACTTTATAAATTCTCTTTCACTGAGCTGCCTTTTATCATAACCTTAGCTTTTATTGAGATCCATTAACAAAAACAGCCATATGAAAATTTATTCTGCATTTGCTCTATAAAGGTGATAAGATCTTTTATCTACTTTGTAGTTCCAATGTTGTATATTAGATCCCTTGAAAAAATGAGTTTAAGTACTAGTCACTTTCTTTCCACTGAGAAAATGGTGTGTTTTCTACTTTCTGAAAAAAGCCCTACAATTTCTGGTGACATATTTTGCATTTTGGCTGCTCAGATTCTAATCTGATATTCCGTTGTAGCAACAATGTTAATCACATTGTTTAATATTTTGACCATACTTCTTTTTAGCTTTGTAAATATTAAGTTCTATGTATGTGAGACCTGTGGTTGGAAGCGAAAGTGGCCCTGGACCTTTAGAATAAATCCTTAACCTAAGATTATATACTGATCAATCAATCAATAAATAGGAATGTGGCACTCTTTGAGGGTACCGAAGACTCAGGGTTTTTCCATGAATAACATTTCAGATTAGCCCTCAAGGCCTTGATCTTTAGGGGAAAAGCGCCAAGAATATTCCAAAAAAATTAGACGCCGTCTTAGGGCTGTGTGTGAGACGAGACTGCCAAAAGGACCCAAGTTCTCTCGGTAACAAACCATTCCATGAAGAGGAACAAATCTAACAACCCCACTGATGATTAAGAGGACTCTGTAAAGAGCTGCTTTTGTAGATGATGGGTAAAGCTGCATTCCAGAAACAAGCACTGCAAGATAACATTTCTCAGACCTAGGAGTCTTTGTGGGAAGTTCACATACCATTAGCCTGGGCCTCTTGAGTATACGTGGAAACTTCCCAGGACTTCTGTCCCTGAATGGAAGTTCTACTTCTTACTGACTCATTTTGCTGGCCCGCTTTGGGGACACCGTATTTCATCTACCTGTGGGTAGAATTCTCAACTGAAGTCAGCTCAGCCCCTGGACTTTGATATGGGTGCCCTTTGGCTGTTCGTCTAACTGAAACTTTCTCTTCCAACTGCCTCAGGTCCTTCAGTTTGTTCAAAAGTACCTCCTTGGGTAGGAGGCCAATGATTCTAACATATTGGTTGTATATTAGAGAACTTCACATTCCCCATATTAACCACTTCAGCGTTAATCAGGTTCAACTCTAGTCAACTGCTAACAATAAGATGTAATTCTTTTTGTGAGTGTACCACCTTAGGCTTGTATCAAAGATTTCTGCAGGATATCTTTTTACACGAAGATATGCAAGAGCTGCTCTCTGAGTTCAGTGCTCACTATTTTAAAACCCAGATCCATGCCTTGTACATACTCCCTTAGTTCCAGAGCCTCAGTCCCAGGCCTCTGTAAGCTCTTCTAGCTCTCTATTCCAGTATTCCATTCTTATCTGAGCCCTGATTAATCCCCCTGTAAACCTCTCCAACAATTAGGGTCCCATGGAATCTAGTGTGCACTTACTGGTAGTCTTGCTTGGAAATTTTAATTTTTCTTTTTTAAAATTGCTTATGCACCACAGGTACACTGTGTTGAACAGTGTATACTCCTTGATTCATAATACACATGTAATTTTTTCAAAGCCCTGTTTTGTGCTATAAATTTTCATACCAAATTCTTACCTCAACAATCTCCCTAAAAATCTACCTTACTCTTGCTTTAATCACCCATGCTGTTGTACTAGACAGAGACCCTTAACTGGTCATATATTTTTAAAGATTATCTTGGGATCTCTACATATATATTTTAAATTTATATACATTATGATGTAGTATAAATCTTCCTCCATAACTATTTTTTTCACTCAATAGAATACTAAGATTTCACTCAATAGAATACTAAGATTTCTCTGTAACTATGAATATTTTCGATTTCATTGGCATACATTTATTTGGAATATTTTATTATATATTAAATATTGGCTTTATCTGCTTTTATTTCCTAACATTGTTTCATTATGTTTTTCACTCATTAAAAATTCTAACTAGTTTTATGCACTTTATTTTTCCAAATAATGTAATTTTAACTTGTTGATCCTTTGTCATATTTATTTTATATTTGATTAATTCTATCATTATCTTCTTTTACTTTACCTTGAACTTATTTTGAAGGGTATAATTTCTTAAATAGTACACTTTTTTCATTAACTTTTCTACTTTTTTGGCATGTAAACATTTAATATTATCAATTTCTCATTAAGTATACTAATTTAGATGTATCCTAGAGTTATGATGTATAGTATTTTTATTTCATGTTTTCTAAACAATTACTGTTTGAGATATGAATCATATTACCTTTACATTTGTTATTCAATTATAGTAAAAACTGTTTTCAGCACACCTAAATTGCCATCACTGTTTTGTATCTCCTACTGCCAAATTGCACGTGTAAAACACTATTGAAGTTACAATAGAGTACTGATTAACATTTTTAAAAAGTATTTATACTAAAGGATATAAATAACGCAGAAATCATTTGTAAATTTCATATAAAAACAATTATAAAATGCTGTAAGTGCTATTCCATTCTGCTTCAATTTAAGCAAGTGATAATCTCTTACGAGTCATCGATTTGTTAAACTGATAAGAGATAAAATTCCTATTGAGGAAAGCCTATAAAAACTCAAATTTTTTGGTGAGGTTTCAAGAGACTAGTTGATTTGAAAGTTGAATTAACTGAGAAGGAAATTCTCTTTTCAGGATGTGTTGGTATGGTAAGCTTATTCCATGGAGCTCCCTAAACATAAACTGGTAGCATGGGAGCATGGAATGGAGGGGAAAAAAAAGCCCTATTTTTAGATTAATATATCCCCCAATATTTTTGATTAAAGATCTTGAAGAGGATTATTCTTGGCCAGATGTTCTGTTTAGAAAAACTACTTGTAATATGTCATCATATTATAAGTCATAACAGTCATCATCTAGTGATGAGATCATTCTCATAATCTTAGCCATCAACTTTCCTTGTTCTGTGCATCTGTACTTCTCTTCATTCAATTATTGCTCTTGGGAAGTTATTCTCTCTTTAGGAGTTGACTTGGTCTTCTTCAGGTTTTTATATTTTGGCTCCAAATTCCTTTTTTCTTATGACTTTTTCTCAAGTCTAGTATTTTCTAAAGATGACCCTGATTCTGCCAAATGCTTTGATAAGAAATAGACTTACAAAGGGTTTTATTTTTTTCCTGAATCATTTTAGCAATAGTTTGAACTAGTTTTTTTTTCCTCCTTATATAAAATCTCAACAAAAATAGGAAACTCTTAAAAAAGCTGAAGACAGAAGAACATACTACTGACACTCATATAAACCCATAATTGTAAGAACTAAGTTCAGGTCATTCAATGGTATGGTGATCTTCTTGTGTAGTTACCCACGGATCTAGCTGAAACCAAGATCCACCATAGCTTGCAGCCTCTCCATAGTGACACAGCCCATAACAAAGTTCGTTAAAACAACCTATGGCTTCATAGGCAACAACAACCTACATATCCTAGCATTCAACCTGGAATCCAACCTCAACTCAGGAAACAATTTAGAATACAAATGAAGATGGTAAAGGGAATGATGGATACCATAAGCAATGAACATGCTCCACTGTCCAGCACTCCCTCGCCAATCTGTATCTTCCCCTCTCTGTCCCCACAAAACAATATGACTATACATTTTTCAATATAAGAAACAGGACAATGAACACCCATACATCTACTACCCAAAATTAATAATTTAACATTTTGCCATATTTTCTTTATCTTTTTCTCTCATTATACTTTCTCTTTTCTTGAAACCTTTCAAAGTAAATTATACCTATTTTGATACTTTGTCACACATCACTAAAAATAAAGACATTAGTTTTCACTGTCTTATACCACTATCACACTTAAAAATTCTAGTGAATGACTTCAGCAAGATGGCAGAATAAGACTTTCAGTACTCATTTCCTAGAAGAAATATCAATTTGAATCACAGTTCACATGCTAAAATACCTTCACAAGAGCTAAGGAATCCACATGAGAGATTATAGCACCAGGCTAAAATACAAAAATAAAGAACTGTGCATTGAAGAAGTAGGAAGGACAATTTTACATTACCAAAGTCACTCCTCCATCAAACGTGTGCAACACAATTTGAGACAGATATGTTTCCCACGAGGGAAGGAGAACAAAGTGAGCACTGGTTTTTGCGATGAAACCCACACCAAGGCCACAACAGTAAAACCTAGCTTGAAGATGTCATCTGTGTACTGAGGTTCCATGCTTGTACCCATATTAAGCCATCCCCTTAAACTCCAAATTGATGCCCCAGCCTCAGTCTTCAAGACTACCCAAAAGCCTGTCCAGATCTAGTGGCTCCAGGCCCACTCAAGGAAGTGCCAGAGCCCCAGGCTCCAGGCCAGCTTCTGAGGACTCAGGCTCCAGGCTCAACCAAGGCTCCAGACTGGCCCCTGCAACAAGGCAGCCTCTTTGGCCCCAGCCTTTAGGCCTCTCCCAGTGCCAAACTGATGCCTATAGCCCTAGACTTTGAGCTGCCACCCACAGACCAGTCAGCCTCTAGACCTACCTTAGTGCAGGCTGGTTGGTATATATGGACCCAAGCTCAAGGCTAGCCCCTGCAAGCTTCATGCCTGCTTAGTGCCAGGTAGCATATCTTATCCCAGGCCCCAGCAGATCCTGGGTCTAGGCCCATTCCAATAGAGCCAAGCACGAGGCCAGCCACCATGGACCCAAGCTTCAGGCCAGTCTGAGTACTAGACCTGATGCAGTGTCTGAAGGCTTTAGGTTAGCCCCAGCATGCCTAGACTGTAGGTAGGTCCACAAGGACTCAACCTTGACAAAGCCCCTACCCTAGGCACCAGGCCAGCACCTGCAGATTAAATCTCCAGGCTAGTCCTTGTGGTCCCCGGCTCCAGTGAGCCCAAAGTACAGGACCAGCCCTGTGGACCCAGGTATCAGATTCACCTACCTGATGACTCAGACATCGTGACAGCATGTCCAAGGACATAAGCAGCAAGCTTACTCACAGATCATACTAGATGTTCTGAGCACAATCTCTGGATGAGATGTGGCTGAAGGGCTTTTCCTACTGACACTAATCTATAAATATAGGAATGGATGCCTACTTTCTCAAATGTGCAGACATCAATGCATGGCCACAAGAATCAATCAGGAAAATATTACCCCAATGAAAGAAAAATAATAATAAAACACCAGTAACCAACCATACACAAATGGAGATTTTTCTCAGCAGAAACCTTGCAAACCAGGAGAAAGTAGGAAGATATATTGCTTTTAATGGCAAAATTGCAGTTATTTTTTCACCAACATAATACTTTTTAAAACTCAAACAGAAATCCTGGAACTGAAAAATACAATAAAGCAAATAAAAAATGTAGTAGAAGGCATCAACAGCAGAATTTATCAAGCAAAATAATTAGTGAACTCAAAGACAGCATTTGGAAATACACAGTGGGAGAAAAAGAAAAAAAAATGAGTAAAAAGGAAAAAAGAAGGCCTAAAAGAAATTATGGAACAGCACCAAAAAATTGAAAGTTTGAGTTATTAGGGTTCAAAAAGAATTTGAGAATGCCAAAAGGGTAGAAAGCTTATTCAAAGAGACAATAACAGAGAACTTTCAAAATCTAGAGAAGTATACAAACATCCAAGTACAGGAAAGCCAAAAGTCATCAGTCAGATTCAATACAAACAGTTCTAACCCAAGACATATTGTAATAAAATAATCCAAGGTCAAAGAAAAAGAGAGGGTTCTTAAAGCAGCAAGATAACAGCATATTGTTCTGCAAAAGAGTTTTGATTTGTCTGGCAGCAGACTTCTTTGCACAAATGTTACAGGCCAGGAGAGTGGGATATGTTCAAAGGGCTAAAGAAAAAACAAAACACTTGTCAACCAAGAATATTGTACCCAGCAAACCAACCTTTCAGAAATGAAGATGAGATTGAGACTTTCCCAGAAAAACAAAAGCTGAGAGAATTTATCACCACAGATCTATCTTGTAAGAAATATTTAAGGGAGTTCTTCAAACTGAAAGAAACAGATGCTAAAGTATAACAAGAAAACATCTGAAGATATAAAACTCACTGCTGGTACCAGTAATTATAAAGACAAACCCACAATATTCTAATACTGTAAACATGGATCATAAACTACTTATAAATTTGGTATGAAGACTGAAATAAAAATTATTAAAAATAATAACTACATTAATTTTTCAGGAGACAGGCAATATAAATACACATAAAAGCTTTAATTCCTGTAATACCACTAGGTGACAAGTTATCCCAACAAACTCCAAAATACAAAGGTATGGTGACAAATTACTGAGACAATGAGTTGCTGTGGTATCATCAAGTTATGAGAAAACAGTAAAAAAGGCAAAATGAATTTAGGCCCTGAGAGTAAGAGAAGCCACAAATCACTTAAATTCAGTTGCCAACCAGAGAAGACATCAAAAAAATTGGGAGAAAAATGCAAAGGAACTGTGGTAAGGTTAGACTGTATTTGGGCAGTCTGGGTCCTATGAACTGTAAAATTCAACCAAATTTTAAAAGTCAAACTCAGAGAAACAGACAATAAAATAGTCCTTAATAAAGGCTGGGGGACTGGGATTGGAGAGATGATAGTCAAAGGACATGCCATTGTTCTACTTAAAATTTGCTGAGAGTAGATTTTAAGTGTTCTTAACACAAAAAAAGATAAATATGTGAGGTAATGCATATGTTAAATAGTTGGATGTAGCCATTCCACTATGTATATATGTATCAGGACATTGTGTCATATGATATAAATATACACAATTTTTCCTATTAATTAAAAATAACTAATCTACTTTAATCATTTATTTTAAAAAGGCTTTATTAAGCAGATCATGCTGCGAATAGAATACAAACTTAGAAATACAGGAATACTATGTCTAAGAAAAAAAGTGATGTGTGATATTATAAGGATTAATGAAAAAATTCAGAATATGAAAGATTTTAGGACAGGCAATCTGGGTTCTTTGACAAATAAATTATAAAGATAAAAGAACTCGTGAAGAGAACTCAATGACATAACACATATTTCTAAGAGCTATATTAACTAAATATAAACACATGTTTATAATACTAAGGAATAGAGAAGAACGTAACTTCTGATATGAGAAAAGGATTGTCCCATGTAATTTTCCATCTTATGTCCCATTTTCAATATGATTTGCCTCACTTAACTTTAGTTCTTGGAGACATACGCTATTTTTCTCCATCTGGACGGGTTGGCAATGGTGGTACGCATGCTTATTCATCCTTCTGGTTTTACCTTGTCACTTACTCAACCTTCTAGGCAAAATCAGCGTACTGTCATATATATATTCATCCTGTAATTCTCCTTCACGTGACATTTAAAAATACTTATTTACATATTGTTTAACGTCTTCTTAGACAGAAGGTAAGTGACTATATTATTCATATTTGCTGCTGTATTCTCACTGCCATCATGGTTTCTGTCATATAATACATCTTGAGTAGCTGGTCAGTAAAAGGATGAATGAATCAGAGGTAATAAATATGTAAATGACAATTTTTGTGTTATTATAATGCCCATTTATGTTGACAACTTTAGATCCATTTCCTCCCTCTTTATACATATCACCTTTCAGTGTCCTCCATGGGCACACCTAGGTGCCTTTATTACCCTGTCTTGCTTTGTCTTTGACACCTCTAACTTAACAAAATGATATCTCCCTTGCTGGGTACTGAGGTCTACTCTGGTTTCAACTGAGGCTTTGGAAGTTTGAGCACAAAAAAATACCAAATTAGCACCTAGAAATGAAACTCAAACTGTTCTCTACATTTTTTTCAGTTATTCAATTTACAGTTACATTAGGACTTCTGCAACAGTGTTTTTTAAGAAAAATTTTCCTTTAAATGTCAAATAATTATCTGAAAAGGGTGCTTGAAAAGCCTTATGTCAGAATCAAGACCCAATTAAGCCATGAAATGCCCTGATGGAAAGCTGTGACCTCAACGTGAAGAAAGCTGGCAAGCATCTGAGAAGATCTAAGCAGGCAACATGAGGACATCCAGACATTCACAGGGTAGCATCAACAAAGTATAATGGTGGCAGACAACAGTCTAGGCAGATGGTAGAACACACAACAAGAAGGTGTAAGAAGTAGAATTGGCTGAAATTAAGGAAATAAACATTAAGCGGTAGGGTTTATTAAGAGAGGAATGTGTCAGAGTGTCAGGTACAGAAAAACAAGAACCAGGGAACAGTAAGTAGAACTTGTTTGAAAATTAAAGCGTAGTCATAAGAAACAAAGTGAAATACTCCAACAAAGACTCAAGAATCCAGTGAAAAATAAATGGTGTCAGTAATAGGGAAAAGTATTATATGGCTATACATATAACTTGAGAACTCACCTCAAAATTGACCTGGACTTATGTTCAAAAGAT